>NC_000009.12:99129642-99281158 GCF_000001405.40 Homo sapiens | reverse complement strand
TCAAGACAGGGTATTCAGATTATATGAAGGGAAATATGGGCATATTTTACCACATAAAAACTAAAAATTTGTGTAAACCTAAAGGAAACTAGAGACTGGGGAAATAACAAAATACATGATAAAGAGCAAATATTTATAATAGCCAACGAGCTGCCCCTTGGTAATAAAATCATAAAAAAGAGAAAACTGGCATATGGGTAAGGATATGATATACAATTCATGGAAGAAGGAATTCAAATGACCAATAAACACAAGAAACGATGCTCAACCTAAAAAATAGTAAAGAAAATGCAAAATAAAGCAATAATAAGACACCAGTTTTTCACTGATAAAATTAGAAAATTTTTAAATAAGAATGCCAGCTGCTGGTGAAGATGTGGGGAAATAGTCACGCTTATACAGTGCTGGTGGGAATGTGAATTACCACAACCCTCTTGGAAAGCCATCTGCCAATATCTGTTCAAATTTAAAATATAGATGTACTTCAACCCAGCAATGCTAATTCTGGAAATATTTTTGATAGACACATAATATAATACAAGGAAGTTTTGTGCAGCATTATTTGTAGTGGGGGAAACTAAAAGTGGGTAAACATTAAAAAGAATGATTTTTGTGTCCATCAACCTGAAGGATTGACCAAGATGTATTGTTAAGTGACATAGAAAAAATGAATTTGGAGAAAAATATCTTTAATAAGAATCCAGCTTTAGGCCAGGTGCGGTGGCTCACGCCTGTAATCCTAGCACTTTGGGAGGCCGAGGTTGGTGGATCACTTGAGGTCAGGAGTTCAAGACCAGCCTGCCCAACATGGTGAAACCCTGTGTCTACTAAAAATACCAAAAATTAGCCAGGCGTGGTGGTATGCACCTGTAATCCCAGCTACTTGGGAGGCTGAGGAAGGAGAATCACTTGAACCCAGGAAGTGAAGGTTGCAGTGAGCTGAGATCATGTCACTGCACTCCAGCCTGGGTGACAGACTCCTTCTCAGAAAATAAATAAATAAATAAATAAATTTAATTAAATTAAATTAAAAAAAAAGAATCCAGCTTTAGAAAAAAGAAACCAAAAAATTCTATATATGAGTAGATCTTTGTATAGGGTTACAGGTGCATAGAGCAATGTATGCAAAGATACACATCAGGTTATTTCTGTTGATCCTTTTGGGAAAGAAGGGTAGTCAGAAGGTGGAATGGAAGAAGAAAGGAGATGGGGGAAGAAAGAAAAAAGTCTATAGCAAAATGAAAACTGCCAATGCAATGATGTTGAATATACTTGTATGATGGTATTTGTGTATGTTTATGTTTACGTTTTTTCTCTTTTAATGGGTTAAACTTACCAGAGATTTGTCTGTTTTAAAGAAATCTGCTCTTGGATTTTCTGCTTCCTAATTTACAAATTGCTACTTTCAACTTTAACTATTTACTCTCTACCATTGAATTTAATTTAATACTTTTGGCATTACTTTAAGAAGGTATAATATTGCATTTTACCTGTGACTAAACTATTTACTTTTATATCTACAATTATTTAGAATTATAAATTTATTACTGCTCCAAATATAAGTAGCACTAAAAGGAATACCTCTGAGTAGTTATTTCAGAGGAGGAAGTATGTGTAAGGCTGTCTTAGTCTATTTGAGCTGCTATAATGAAATATCTTAAGACTGGGTAATTTATAGATAACATAAATGTATTTCTCACAGTTCTAGAGGCTGGAAGTTCAAGATCAAAACACCAGCAGATTTGCTGTCTGGTGAGGGCCTGTTCCTCATAGATGATGACTTCTTGTTGTGTCTTCACATGGTAGAAGTGGCGGACAAGATTCCTTCAAGCCCTTTCATAAGGACACTAATCCCTTTAATGAGGATGGACCCCTCATGACCTAATCACCTCCCAAAGGCCCCACCTCTAAAGCCATCATTTGTGGGGTTAGATTTCAACACATGACTTTTGGAGGGACACCAACATTCAGACCCTAGCAATGGTATACTTTCCAAGACCTTTTATTTCATTTTTTTTATTATTTTATTTTTATTTTTTGATTGCTTCACATATGGATATCTTAACTAAGTTTAATTCTTGGGTCACACTGTTTTTATTTTAAGCTCTATATGTATTAGCTCATGGGATCTAGAAAAGCGTCTCTTGAAGTATGTTTGGCAGAACGCTGGTCTTACATTATGTTTCTGAGAAAAAGAATCTGACAGTCAAAATGTCTGGGGAGTGCTTCGTGTGTTGGGCATAAATTTCTAATATTCAAATATTTAGCATGAACACAAAAAGTCTGAAAACCACTGACCTAGGACTTCATATCTGGTAAACCCCCACCTTTAGGGGTGCATCATACCTCCACTACCAATCTCTTCCCACCTATAAATTCATCATTTCCAGACTGTAATTAGATTAAGGGGAAGGAGATTCCAGAGAACGCCTAAGGTCTATGCTAAATGCCTTGTTTTGGAAGTTCCATTTCTCAGACCAGGGAGGTTCTTCACTGGGGAGTAATGGACACCCTGGGGAGGAAATGATGGTATAAATGCCTGGAGTATAACATAATGAAACTAATTTGGCTTATACACTTCAAATTTCAGTTTCAATGTATTAAAAGTTTCAAATATATCTCATAAATAAATATGCCAAACTCCACTAGAAGTCTGATCACCTCTTAAATGGACAGTTGGTCTTTTCTCTGGTATTTCAAAAATCAGGCAACAGGACCCTCCAAGCAAATTTCCCTTTGACAGTCAATGAACCTCACATAGAACAGAAGACCTTTGTTATCTATATTTAATTTTTCACAGAGCAAAGCATATAATCATGCTTTTATCCAGTTTTTTTTAATAAAAATTACTCTCTTGATAGCAAGGCTGAAATCCTCTCATAAATTGCTTGTCGGTAAAGTCATCATATATCCTAAAAATTAGATGAAATTTTAAAACTTTTCCCTCTAAAAACTCTTAATTTCAGACCCAGCATTGCTGGATCACCACCAGGACACACTATAAATATATTTTTCCCATTCAGTTCATTGACTTTAAATAATTTTGGCACAGCATCAAAGACATCATCAACTTCAATGATGGTATCCAAGGCTTTGAAAAGCAGCACTTTTCTATTCCAATATATCTCTAACCGTATATCTTGCATAAATAAATGGCTGTGCTCAATCTCTGTCCTCTGTGGATTTGTTACAACTAAAAGTAAAATGAGCAATGATTGGCTCTTTTGCAAAACTTGAAGCCTGATATCTTCAACTAACACATCAATTTGACACTTGACTATAGAACTAAACAGAAAAAAAATGTTTCCTGGTATTTTATCTCAATTTTATCTCCAAGTAATTTTTGGCAGTATTGCAAATGTGATATTTGATGAGAGTGTCTCCATTGGTGCAACATTTTAAAAAATTATTCTTTATGCTTAAAGGGGCTATTTCATATAACATTTTCACTTTTATGAAAACGATCCCATACTATGTGTCACAGAAAGACATAATTTGCACAAAAATTCACTGTTTTTCTAATGAGATCGGTAAAATTGCACTTTAATATTATTCGGAGATTCTCAATGCATACTTGCCCTTTATTTTTAAACCACTGATTCTAAGGAAGTTGGACTTCTTACTTTGCAATGTATATGTACCCATATGTATTAGTTATCTATTGCTGCATAACAACTTCAGTTATAATTATATTGCCCTTATGAGTCCTTTGATCTTTTGTTTGGTGGTCTAAAGGATTTCTATTTATTTTTAAAGTCTCATAGTTAATAGAATATGTTATGAAGCTGACCTTATGGGTAAATTTTTCCATGTACCTAATGGACCCTCTCAATATGTAGATTCTGGTTTTCTTTTATTTCCAGAAAGTTTTATTGAATTACAGTTTTAAATATTTATTCTGTGCCATCATTTTGTTGGCTTCGGGGACTCCAATTATATGTACACTGATTCTTCTTCGCCTGTCTATCTACCATTTCAAACACTTTCTCTCTGACCCTTTTTGCTTCTCACTTTATCTTGTTTTTATTCTCTTGGTTCTGTTCCTACCTTTCTTCAGTTTCTCCATCCAAATTTTAATTTAGTCGATTCTCTTTTGGGTACCTTGTAGTCCTGATTTCTGATATGATTTTGTCTTTTACTTAACTTACTTGTCTAAATTTAATAAATGCTCTTTGATTTCTAATTCAGGGGTACCCTTTCATGTCCGTGTATCAATGTGTAGTTTCTTTCCAGAATGGCTTATTTGTGTGTGTTTTGTTTTGCTTTGTTTTGTTTTAGGTTGAGGAAGGAATTGTCTGTCTTCTGATTTGTTGGTTATCTCTTATATTGCAAGACTATAAAATTTCCCCTTTTCCTTCTTTTCCCCTTCACCACCAAATCTCCAAAAAGCACCCTTCCCTACCTTTTCATATTCTCTTCCCTCAGAAGCAATGCCTTTTGAAGACTGCCACCTCCAATAGCATGAATTTTTTAATTCCTTCCTTAGAGCTGTGCTCTGATCTACTAGGGCTTTTTGGTAGTTTCCAACTCAGGGTAGATTTTTTCTTTCTGGCAGTGGTTTTAGATCAATCATAAGTCTGCCACCTCTTCTCTTTTCTCTTCTGCATTGCATTTCCCCTACTGTTCTTGTTATTCACGGGGCTACTGGGCAAAGCACAAAAGACAACTTGTTGGAATTTGGTATTTCTTTCTTTCTTTCTTTTTTTTTTTTTTGAGACCAAGTCTCGCTCTGTTGCCCAGGCTGGAGTACAGTGGCGTGATCTCGGCTCACTGCAAGCTCCGCCTCCTGGGTTCATGTCATTCTCCTGCCTCAGCCTCCTGAGTAGCTGGGATTACAGGCGCCCGCCACCACGCCCAGCTAATTCTTTGTATTTTTAGTAGAGACGGGGTTTCACCGTGTTAGCCAGGATGGTTTGGATCTCCTGACCTCGTGATCCGCCCACCTCGGCCTCCCAGAGTGCTGGGATTACAGGCGTGAGCCGCCGCGCCCAGCCGGAATTTAGTATTTCTTTATCTACTTGTGGATCAATTTAAAATTGGGGCATTCTCTTTCTCCTGGTTCTGCTACAGTCCTGTATTTTGCTTGGTTTTATTTATCCTTCTGTCGTTCTGAATTGTTTTGTGAGATTCAGATATTTGTGGCCATCATCTCAGCTAGGCCTGGGGCTAATGTAGAATGCTTTTTTACTATATTTTTGTGTGACCCTCATCAATCGTAGAGATTTGACTATCTTAAGTTCCTGTAGTTTTTACTAAGAATCTATGTTTGTGTTTGCCAGATATAAAATTATGTTATCATGTTTAGTATGTTTTTTCAAGCTACATACCCTGCAACCTGTAGATTCTAATATTGCCCCCACCTTGTCACCCCAAGAGGCAATCCCCACTTTCCTCATTCCTTGTTTCCTGACCACTATTCTAGCTACAGCACAAATCAATGTAATGTATATAATGCAGAATCTGGAAGTGGTAGGGTACAGAAGCCCTGACATGGCCAGGGGAAAACTCAGAGTGGCAGGCCCTAGAGTCAAAGGATTTCCTAAACCTCCATGATTTTAGGAAGGAAAATATGAAACTCTATAGATATGAAAAAATGAATCAGATGAAATTAATGCCCACTCTGCCCGCCATCTGAGGTATTAGCCTCAGAACATAACTATTTGCATATTGTTATGAGGGAAATAAAATCAGGAATCATTTTAAAATGGAAAGTCATGAGAAAATGATGACATATGTATAAGTCAAAAAATGCCATTTATTACTTTAGGTCTCATAATCTATAACTTTAAAGTACTATGTGTACCCATTAATAACTGGTAGAGTGTAAGTCATTTTAGACTTAGGAACAAAGAAGTTGAACAATATTTTAAAATCCAATCTCTTTGTTGGAGGAACCTCTACATCCAGTTCAGTCTCGAAAAATTCTCTCCATTTCTAAACCACCTTGTTTTTTGTCTCTATACTTTTTCTTAAGATCTTTTATTATGAAATATTTTAATAAATGCTGCAGAGAAGATTAAAGGGGTGTTGCAACCCTCGGAGCATAGAGTTAGAGGCTCGGCCTATAAACTATCAGGAAAAGTCTTATTTTATAACTATTTCATACCCATTTCATTTGGTTTATACTTGTTTTCTTTATCCACCGTGGAACTGAATATTATGAAAAACATTTTTGGCCCCCTTTCAACCAACTCCATGCATTAGCTGGTAGAATGGACAGTTATTCAGGTCAAAAAGTCCCAACTGACAAACACTGAGGTTCTTGTTATTGTTTTTGGCTTGGTTTGGGTTTGGTTTCACTTCTGACATAGGTCTAAAAGCATAGTTATGGACCTAGACTTTAGGTCCTCAGGTATGTGGCTGGACAAACAAAGCACCCACCAGGACTTTGTTCTAGATTGTTCCTCAGCCCCTGGTCTCCTTGTTTGTGTTCCTAACAAATAACTCTTTGTCTTCAATACTTTAGCGAGAGCAACACTGAAACATCCTTCCCACTTGAGTGATGTAATTTACCATCTGATGGAACCCGGTGCAAATTATTACTCACCAGCCCTAAATGAGACAGTTGTACTAATGAAGGGCAGCAGGGAATGATGGGAAGATAAAAGCATTAGAAGGAGGTAGGAGGCTGGGACCTAGTCTCTGCTGTGCCACTGGTTCACTGTTAAACCTAGGCAAGTCTCTGTCCTACTCCCTGGGCCTCAGCTTTCCCATTTGAACTAGATGATCTTTGGGGATCCTAGTAGCTCAGGGGAACTCAGGCCTCTTCTAAAAGGGACTTTCATTATAAATTGGCCTCTAAGAGCTTTCTAGGCCTCATGGAGCAGTGCCTGCATAAGCAGGAGAAAGGGGTGATCTCAGAGAAAGGAAAGATGAACGCTCGCCCCACAGCTCAGGCAGGCAACAGAGGATGAGTGAGCACTCAAAGCCATCTCGGCATCTAGTCCTTGCTGTGTCACCCATACCGAGAGGCCAATCAGTCTCTGCTTGGACACCACCACCAGTGGTGACCTCATTCCCTTTCAAATCATCCCCTTTTGTTTTACATGTTTAGATGCAGTAGAGATGAAGAGAAGTGTGTACGTTCAAGAGCTATTCACAGGTTAAAGTGACAAGAGGGAGGTGTCAAGGATGAAGCCTGATCTTTTTTTTTTCTTCTGCCTGCAATGTTTTCACCCCTAATCCTTTTTTTTCTATTTTTTTTTATTACTCTTTAAGTTCTAGGGTACATGTGCACAACGTGCAGGTTTGTTACATAGGTATACATGTGCCATGTCGGTTTGCTGCACCCATCAGCTCGTCATTTACATTAGGTATTTCTCCTAATGCTATCCCTCCCCCAGTCCTCCACCCCCAACAGGCCCCCATGTGTGATGTTCCCCTCCCTGTGTCCAAGTGTTCTCATTGTTCAGTTCCCACCTATGAGTGAGAACATGCGGCGTTTGGTTTCCTGTCCTTGTGATAGTTTGCTGAGAATGATGGTTTCTAGCTGATGAAGCCTAGTTTTCTGACTCCTCAAACTATATGGATGGTGATACATTCAATCAGGAACATGCTGGTGGTGGGTGGGGGAAGGTCATGAGTTCAGTCTTGGACAGATAAATTTGAGGAGCCACTGAAACATCCAAGTAAAGGCAAATGGCCAGTTGGATATTCAGATCCAGAGCTCAGAAGAGACAGCAGGCTGGGGACACAAAATTTAAAGTCATTGTTCCAAAAATTGATAGCTGTAATCATTGAGGAAGACTGTGAAATAGAAAGGAAAAAGGGGGCCTCAGACGAAAACTTGAAGAATACCAACATTGAAAGCATAAGTAGATGAGGAACTGCTTGGCAACCAGAGAGGTGGGGAAAAGAACCAGGAGAATGGCACATCAGAAACAGCCCAGGGAGGGTCTCAGGAAAGACGGAGTTGTCAATAGTGTCAGGGGCTGTTGAGGAGTCAAGGAAGATAAGCAGAGGAATGTCTATGGAATGCAATGAGGTGGAGATGATTGGTGACTTATTAAGAATTTTTTTAGTGGAGCAGTGGGGCCAGAAGTTGGAGTGGAAGGGGCTGAGGACTGAGTGGGAAGTGAGAAAATGGGGCAGCAGGTGTAGACAGCTCTGTAAAGGCATTTAGCTGTGAAAGGAGAGAGATGGGCAATACTGGTGTGAATGGAATCCATTGATGCCTTCTTAAATAGGAAGGGGTTTTCCATGGTTACATGTTAATGTGATTATACAGTTAAGACAGAAAAGTTTCATATACAGCAGATAAAGGGCTACTGATAGTTCCTTAGAAGGCATAAGGGAATGGGTTCAAAGAATAGAGGAAGGAATAGCTTCCTAAGTGTTTCAAAATTCTCTGGGGCTGAGTTTCAGCCAGAGCACTTCATGCAAGTACATGGCTGGTTTTTTGTGTTTTGTTTGTAACACTGGGTCAATTTTATAGAATTACAATTTTACAGGCCAGGCATGGGTGTCTTACGCCTATAATCCCAGCACTTTGGGAGGCCAAGGGGGTGGATCACCTGAGGTCAGGAGTTCGAGACCAGCCTGGCCAACATGGTGAAACCCTGTCTCTACTAAAAAAAATACAAAAATTAGCCGGGCATGGTGGCACGTGCTTGTAGTGCCAGCTACTCAGGAGGCTGAGGCAGAAGAATCGCTTGAACCCCAGGGGCAGAGGTTACAGTGATCCGAGATCGCACCACTGCACTCCAGCCTGGGCAACAGCCTCGGTGACAGACTCTGCCTAAAAAAAAAAGAATTTCAATTTTTACCATTTCCTTTACGTGTGTATTATCCGCTCCTCCCAATTAAAATTATTCAATTCTATGACAATACAACCAACATCTATAAACGTTATGATACCTGAAGAAATGTTATATTTTTTCAGAGAAATGAAATTCAGATATTTTAAAGAAAGAAAATCCAGAAAACTGTTTTGGTACACTTCACCAGAATATTCTCCAGCCTCATCTTCTGAGTGGCTGAAGGAAATCCAAATGGAAGATAAGACATCAAGAATTTGTGTTAATCATCAATCAATCAGCCTTCTTTGTCCTCAAAGAAGAGCCAACGGGCAGGAAACCAGGGTGCTCTGGTTCTCAGTCGTTCCCCACGTGGCCACCCAGCCATCTGACTCCTAACAAAACCCCTGACTGTTGGTTGTTACCCCCTCCCACAGTGCCCACCCTGCCCCCACATTCACTCATGTAGATTCAGAGCCATTTTCATCACAACACAGAAAAGAGAAAGCTATCTCCATGGGGACCTTCACTCAGAAGAATGACCTCCCTTCACGGTCAAGCACCATGAAGCCATTGAAGCTCTCTCTCTTTCCTACTTGGGTATTATGACCCATTTTTCTACAGCCTGTTTATTTAGAGGTACCCACTCTATTAACATTTGCTGAGACCTTTCATGAAACACACAGAAAAAGATCACAGGAACAAGTGGATAATGAAGACAAAGCCCTTCACCAGTAAACCTTAGGCTCATAGACTCTAAGGGGATTCTAAGAGACCATGGGTTAGTGGGGTCACCCAGTTGAGTTTCTCACCCATGGGGAGGTCTCCACATCAGCTTCTGTAAACAATGGCACTGAAGCCTCTATTTGAACCCCTGAAGTGACATGGGGTTCCTAACTTATGAGGCTGACGCAGGAGAGGACAGGACACTATATTTGAATTTCTAAAGGATTATCTTTAGGAAGAAGGGCCTGACCCTAAGGGCAGAAATAGGAAGCTAAGGTAGAAGCTCAAAGAAGCAGTTTTCAAGTTCACATGAGGGAGAAGACCTTGAGAGACAGGGCCGTCAAACAGATCTCACGGTCTCATCTTCAGTTGTTCTTCCCCCTTCCTTCTGATCCAGAGGACCCTCCTGCCTAGCCTACTTATGATCCACTGTAATTGTTGAAAAAAGAATTCCTACTACTGAGCCAAGACAAGTCTGGGAACTTCTACTGGTTTGTCCCTTTTAATGCTCACAGAGACAGTGGCCATCCCATCGTTTTCTAAGAAGAAACCTTCAGAATTTGATAATCGGGTAGTGTCCTACCTGAAATCATCTTAACAAGGCTAAGAAGTCCCAAATCCACCCAGCAGACAAAAGAGAGAAAGAATGTTTACCTAGACAAGAGCTCTCCCAACTGTGATTTTTTTAAAAGCAGAGGATGCTGTCAAGACACAGCGCACCAGCAGGGCTTCTGCCCACCCTAGCCAACCACAGCAGAGGCACACAGTTTGATTGCAGGAGTTGTATTTTTGTTTACACAAATGGGTTTGGACCTCACCTAAAGTCCTGCAAGTTGCTTTTTAAAGTAATGATTATGAACATCATTAATTTTTATTGTTACGAACATCTTTCCCTTCTGTGCATGCAAATCAACCTCATTCACTTTACAAGCTGCCTGGTATTTCATTAAGTGGGTGCACATAATTCATTTAAGTAATCTGCTCTTACTGGACATCTGAGATAGTTTCAAGTCCTTCCAAAACCACAGTGAAAATTCTTATGCACACATTTGTGCACGTCTGTCAGTGTTCTCTAGCAAATGCGAATACCTTTTCCCTCAGTTTTTCAAAACAAGCACCTAGTGCATACATCTCTGTGCATGTGTATGAGTATTTCTGAGACTATATTTTGGAAGCAGAATTGTAGAGCCAAAGGGGATAAATATTTTTTAAATGTACTGCCAAATTGCCTTCCAAAAGACCTTACCAATTTATATATCCTCACCAATGAGAAAAAGACGGCTCCTGCTTCCTTCATATCCACCAACACTCTGGTTATTTTTGACATTTTAATTTTTGCCAATTTGTTAAGTGGAAAGTAGATTTTAAAAAAAAGAATTGTATTTCCCTGGCCATTGATGAAGTTAAGCATATTTTATATATTTGTTGGCCATTTTTATTTATTCTTCAGTGACTTGCCTGTTCACAACCTCTATTGATTTTTCTTTTGGGTTATTCATCTCTTCATATTGATTTAGAGGAAACTTTTATATCAGTGGTGCTTTATTAATGCTTAATCTGTTTTCTGTGCTATAAAAATCTTCTCATGCTCCATCACTTATCTTTTAACTTTGCTTATCTTTGCTCATTTTTTAATGACGTACTCAAATTTTCTTATTGATTTGTAAAGACTTTTTCTATCTTAAGGATATCTGTCTTTGTCATAAGTCTTGCAAATATTTTTGTTTTCCCTTTTTTGTACTTTATTTAGAGGAGATTTTATGTTTATTTAGACACATATACCGTTGTATATCATAAGTCCTTAAAAAGGTTTTCCCTACCCTGAGATGAGATACTCACCAATATTTTCTTCATGTTTTCCTAGATATGATTTTTAAATGTGTCTGGAATTTATTTTGTTGCATAGTATGCCATAGGAATCTCAATTTTTTTTCTCCCCAAAATAGTTGGTCAAATTTCCCAATATCTTTCATCAGATTAGTCATTCTTTCCTCTCTGATTTGTAATCCCAACTTACTCATACACTTAATTTTTATTTGGACTTAAAAGAGGTAAAAATGATGTTTATCAACAATCTTGACTTCATTTGCAGGGGAGAGATGAATTGTTATTTGTTTTGGATGGGAAAGGAGAGTGCGGTGTGGGATAAAATCGGGGGAAAGCAGTTAAGATAGTCATGGAATTTGTTGTGAAAAAGGAAAGCCTGAGGAAGAAAGGCCAACAGAGAAAACTACTGAGTCATAAAAGGAACATGTTATTTTAAAAAATGACTTAGGATTCGCCATAGGGAAGGAATATTTGGGGGAATCTTAAAAAGAAGATGATGCAAACAGAACTGAATTGGTTATACTGGGCTCCCAGCTGAAGGGGAAAGGCCCACAGTCAGTCTACCTTGCCAGATAAGCCTTGAATGGTTGTCACGAAGCCTGGCATAGACTACATGTTATGTTGGGGGGTTTTAATTAGTTAAAAAATTCAAAAAACTAACATAATTGCTATATTAAATAGCTTTAAAACATATATATGTTCATTATTAAAAATTAAAGAGAGAAGCCAGGCATGGTGGCTCACACCTGTAATCCCAGCACTTTGGGAGGCCAAGGCAGGAGGATCACTTCAGCCCAGGAGTTTGAGACCAGCCTGGAAAACATAGAGATACCCTGTCTCTACAGAAAATAAAAATTAAAAAGTAACCAGGCATGGTGGCACATGCCTACCATCCCAACTACTCAGAAGGCTAAGGAAAAAAGATAATTTGAGCCTAGGAAGTTAAGGCTGCAGTGAGCCATGACTGCACCACTGCACTCCAGCCTGGGTGACAAAGCGAGACCTTGTGTCAAAAAAAAGGGAGAGAGAAAGGAAAAATAGAATCATGCTAGCTAACATTTATTGAGCACCCACTATTGTCTAGCACTATATTAGCTGCTTTACACATACTTTGCTTTATAAAAAGAAAAATTAAAACCCCTGTAATCCCACCGTCTGAGATTAACCACCATTAACACTCTGCTATATTTCCTTCCAGTCTTGTTTTCCTGATATGTATTTTATGACAGTAGCTAATAAGTGTTGAGATCTTATTCACATGCCCAGAACTAATAAAATTATTTAAACCTTTTAAAATACTTTTTAAACCTTGTAACAATGCCATGAGATAGGCAGTATTATTACCTTAATTTTACAGATAAGGAAATTGAGACTAGAGAAGTTAAGCAATGTGCCCATTCTGTATACCCAGTTTTGTTAATTTTGTCACTTAAGCTTGTATCAGGAATGTTTTCCCATGTCATTAATTATTCCACAGAAGAGATCACTTAATGGCTGCATAATAGTCCATCACATGGGCATGTCATCATTTATTAAAGTATTTCAGTGTTTCTCTTCAATTCTTGGTGATTTTTAATAGAATAAATACTGCTGTGATTAACACCCTTGTACTTAAAATTTTATGCATGTCTGAGCACTCAGATAAAAACAAATTGCCGGGCGCAGTGGCTCACACCTGTAATCCCAGCACTTTGGGAGGCCGAGGCGGGTGGATCACCTGAGATCAAGAGTTCGAGACCAGCCTGGCCAACATGGTGAAACCCTGTCTGTATTAAAAATACAAAAATTAGCTGGGCATGATGGCAGGTGCCTGTAATCCCAGATACTCGGGAGGCTGAGGTGGGAGAATCACTAGAACCTGGGAGATGGAGTTGCAGTGAGCCAAGATCTGGCCATTGCCCTCCAGCCTGGGCTATAGAGCAAGATTCTGTCTCAAAAAAAAGAAAGAAAGAAAGAAAGAAAGAACGATTGATTAACAGTTGATTTACTGAGTCACTTTTTTCAGGATCTTTCCACATATTGTCGAATTGCCTTCCAAAAAAATTCTACCATTTTATAATAGACCAGCGATAAATGAAAGCATCCATTTTATGCCCCAGGCAACATTAGGTATTATTAATTTTAAATCCTAGACCATTTAAATGGGTAAACAATATATATCATAATTTTGTTTCATTTTTATTATACAGGAGAAACAGAACAGACTTTGGTTCTTCCAAAAATTTTAACGAAGCCTCTATCATACTCCCGGCACTCTTGTGGGGGCTAAGGATACAACAATGAACAAGACAGACCCAACGTGAACCTCTTAGGGCTCACAACTTAACATAAGGGGTACATTGAACACAAATTAATGAATTCCAATTGTATGTTCTATAATAAGCATTTGTAGTACTTAGTGTTTATTGACCCTTTTTAAGGTAAAGCACCAAGAACTTATTGAATCTTCGTGACAACGCTTTTACGTAGGTACTATTATTATTTCCCTTTTACAAATGAGGAAACTGAGTCACCGAGAGGTTAAGAAATTTGCCCAAAGTCCTAGAACCAATAAGTAGCAAAGACAAGATTCAAATCCAGTCAGAGCAGCCCCAGTGCCCTTAACCACTATACCATAATGCTTTCCTTCTGCTAGAAGAAAGACGTGTGGGCTGCTGTGAGATGCTGAAAAGAGTGAAAGAAGATGCAGAAAAATGAAACAAAGCAGATGTTAGCCAATAGTAAAAGGGAATAGAGATGGCAGGAGTTCACTTGGTCAGCAATATTGCCATGAAGTGCTGAATTGTATCTTTCCTCTTTTTTTCAGAGGAGTAGGTGAGGGTGACACGTGACAAAAATCAGCAGGTAGAACATTGGACAATAAATCAACCTGGAACAGTCCAAACAGGAAAGGAGTAGCCTAAATTCTCCTGCTAGGAGGCAGAGGAAAGAAGGGAGAGACCTCCACCTCCCTAGGCCTCAAGGAATCGAAAGATACATTGTTCAGTAGCAGCAGTCAAAACTGAGACGATAAGGAGAAAACGAAAACTTTTGCTTTTCCAGGGCTCCTGGCCAAATACCTCCCAGTGCGGTCTGAAGCCCCCGCTGGAGGCACCTGTGGTTTTGCAGACCAGCGGGCTCCATTCTGGTGGGCTGCAGCGCCATCTAGCAGGCGTGAGGCTGAACGGCGTCATAACAACTGGCAGTCCAAGAGTCCTTGAAAAAACAAGGACCCACGTGGCTAGCACCGTGCTAAGGTCACTGTGGTGAACAAACAAGTCTCTGCCCTTGAGAAGTTCACGGTCCATCTCGGGAGACAATCACAGACTCTAGAGCAGAGACCTGTGCAAGTGTGCAGGAAACACGGAGGGGCAAGGCTGACCTTACCTGGAGTTCAGGGAAGGTTACATAGAGAATGTGCTATTCAAATCAGCTCTTCAAAGATGAGTCATTATTAAAGATGAGTACAGTAGTAGAAGATGGAAGAAACTTCCAGGCAATAAGACTGGAAGCTCAAAGGCCCAGAGTTGTGAAAGGGTGTAGCGCATTCAGGGAAGACTGGAATGTCCAAATCACAGCCGAGAGCAACTTGACAATTTAGCCTAGTCATTTTAAGAATTACATTACTGAGATTTGAGCAAGAAGGGGGCTTTGTGCAGATTTATATCCTAGGCTAGGAGTGTCCACATTGGAACCCATGACTCCTGACTCTCGTTCCCATGTGCCTCCCACTGAACCATGGAAATGCAAGGCCAGCCACCTCCATCCAGCTCCCTGGGAAGGGCCACATTCACATGGCAGGGACCACTAGTGAGGCTGTGTGCATAGAATTGAGACCTTGAACTCAAGAAGAAGACACACCTGCACTCAGTAGCTCCACCAGTAGCTATGTAACTTTCATCAAGTTACTTATTCTTTCCGAGTGTCCATTTCCTTATCAGTCAAATGGGAAAGATGACAGCCCTTACCTCGTACAGTTGTTGTGAGAGTGGAAAGAGTGAATTCACATTAAGGGCTTGGCACAATGCCCAGCACATGCTAAATGCTTGATAATGAGATATTAAAGACCATAATTTTAATATTGTCACTTTTTTATTGTACTATTTTGGTTTTATTTTTTTACTCAGAAGTATGATTATTGATTTTTTATTTATAATTTTTACTATTTCTTATTAAGTGTTGAGAACTGGGGCCTTTCTGGTTGCATAAGAACAAACACAGAAGCCCCAGTCCTATTTTCAAAACTTGAAGGGCTGTGCTGGAACGAGGGAGTAGAGGTGGACTGAGGTGCCCCAAGTGCCAAGCTGGGCACGATGGCTGAGAGCTGCAGGATGGAAGATTTCGGTCCAATGTAAAGGAAACCTTGCGCACTCATCAAGGGGCCTTGGGAGGAAGGTATTTATTTGTTATTGGAAATGTTCAGTCTAAGACCAGATGACCATTTGTCAAGGCCACCTCCTACCTTGCATAGGGCAGGAAGTCACCTAGTCCATGGCACTATCTGATGCTTTAAACATCTAATTGAGCTCTAAACATCTCATTGAGCTCATATTCTAGGGGAATATGATTTGTTAGGTCATCCAGGAAGACGGCTGTCTGTTTATAAATTTCAGTCATAAGCAATGCTCGAAGAAGTCAGGATCCATAACACATAACCTTGTATTTCAGAGTAATTTGTTAGATTTTAGCTGGAAGCATGAGGAAGAGTCTGAGATGCTCGTGTCAGGCTAGAGACCAGGGAAATGGGCTAAAGGAAGAGAAGGCAGCTCAGCTTACCCTCAAATGCTGCCCAGAAAATGTGCTTTCATTCTGAGAAGACGTGCACGGCTGTCACAACCCTGAGAGCCATTAGAGCGTAGAGGTACCTACTGTCTTAAAATAATTCAATAACAAAGCACACAAAATGCTCACTATTCAAACATTTATACAGGGTCTGCTATGTGCAAAGCACTTGGAATATAAAAGTAAATCTAGAGCCGGGCACGGTGGCTCATGCCTGTAATCCCAGCACTTTGGGAGGCTGAGGCGGGCGGATCACCTGAGGTCAGGAGTTCCAGACCAGCCTGGCCAACATGGTGAAACCCTGTCTCTACTAAAAATACAAAAAATTAGCCGGGTGTGGTTGCAGGCGCCTGTAATCCCAGCTACTCTGGAGGCTGAGGCAGGAGAATCGCTTGAACCCAGGAGGCAGAGGTTGCAGTGAGCCGAGATCGTGCCACTGCACTCTGGCCTGGGCAACAAGAGTGAAACTCCATCTCAAAAACAAAAAGTAAATCTAAAAAGCAGATAGAGCTAAGAAGGTTATAGTCTAGAAGAGGCAATAAGACCTGAGTAGAAAATAACTGCAATCCAAGGTAGAAAATGCCTAGTGTTGTGAAAGAGGCACATGGGATTGTATGGCTTTCACAAGAGGAAGCACTGGAGGAAGGTTTTGCAGAGAAAATGACATCTAAGCTGGGCCTTTAGTAACACAAAAGACTTGCACCCCAAATGATGGAAGGGAATAACATCTCAGGGGAAAAAGTAGTGTGGGCAAAACTGCAGAGTTCCAAAAGCATGGGCTGAAGAATTGGAAGTACAAGTAGGTGGCGCCCCCTGTGACTGGAGCACAGGGAGTGTGGAGGGGGTGGGGCAGGATGTAAGATCAGAGAAGTAATTAATCATCCAGTAGTTGCACTCCTAGGTATATTACCAAGAGAATTGAAAACATACCTCCACATAAAAGACCGATACACCAATGCTTATAGCAGTTTCACTCATAATAGCCAAAATGTAGAAACAAACTACTGTCCATCAACTGACAAATGGATAAATGAAATGTGTTATATCTATACAATAAAATATTACTCAGCATTCAGTAATAGGAGGGAGTGAAGTATCAATACATGCTACCATGGATGAACCTTGGAACTGTTCCAAATGAAAGAAGACAGTTACCTAAAATGCATACTGTATGATTCCATTTATATGAAAGGTCCAGAATAGGGAAATCTATAGAGACAGAAAGTATCCTAGGGCCAGCAGGGAGACAACGGGATTAGGTGTTGATGGAAAAGGGTTTCTTTTGGGGATGGTGAAGGTGTTGATGGAAAAAGGTGTTGATGTTAAAGGGTTTCTTTTGGGGATGATGAAAATGTTCTATAATTGAGCATGGTGATGGTTGTACAATTCTGTGAATATACTAAAAACCATTTAATTGTACATTTTAAATAGGTGAATTGTATGGTATGTGAATTATATCACAATAAAGATATAACCCCAAAAATGGTCCTTCCCCAGAGGCAGCAATGAGAAGCACTGGAATAGACCACAGAGAACACTTAGTCTCACTCCCACGGTGCAGAAGGAAACATTAAGACCCAGAGAGGGGAAAGATTTCTCCAGGGTCTCACCACAGGTCAACAGCAGAGCTGCAACTAGAACACAAGACTCCGCCTGTGCCCTCAGTGTCCTTCCCACTGCACGGGACTATTCCCAACATTCTTCCACTCCTAGGACCACACCCTTCAAGCAGAATTCATGATCATGGCTGTCAGAGTCTACCTAGAGAAAGGGAAGTAGAAGCAGAATATTTGTGGTTCAGTCTCAGGATTGGAAGAAAGGTCATAACTGAGGCTTATATCCCCTTTTTAATATTTCCATCACACGGTCATCTAGCAAACCTTGAACAATCTTGATGATGGGAAACTTGGTACCTCCAAAACGTCTCTGAACAACTTTGTGGTGCACAGAACTGCATCTCCCTCCAGCTTCCTCCTGATGACGGGAGAGCGAAGGGCCACACTGTAGTCAGACTGTTGTGAGAGGCTTTACAATGAACCGCAGCTGCATTTGCATTGCTTTTTCTCACTTGATTAAGTGCTTCTAAGGCAGAGGCTGTGTTTTTGTGTTTTGTTTTGTTTTGAGATGGAGTCTCGCTCTGTCGCCCAGCCTGGAGTGCAGTGGTGCAATCTCGGCTCACTGCAACCTCCGCCTCCCAGGTTCAAGCAATTCTTCTGCCTCAGCCTCCCGAGTAGCTGGGACTACAGGCATGTGGCACCATGCCCAGCTAATTTTTGTATTTTTACTAGAGATGGGGTTTCACCATATTGGCCAGGCTGATCTCGAACTCCTAACCTCATGATCCACCCGCCTCAGCCTCCCAAAGTGCTGGGATTACAGGTGTGAGCCACCACGCCCGAACTTTTCTTTTTTTTGAGATGGAGTCTCGCTCTGTCACCCAGACTGGAGTACAGTGGCGTGATGATTTTGGCTCACTGCAACCTCCACCTCCCGGGTTCAAGCGATTCTCTTGCCTCAGCCTCCCAAGTAGCTGGGATTACAGGCATGCACCAATACGCCCAGCTAATTTTTGTATTTTTAGTGGAGACGAGATTTCACCATGTTGGCCAGACTGGTCTTGAACTCCCGACCTCAGGTGATCCACCTGCCTTGGCCTCTCAAAGTGCTGGGATTATAGGTGTGAGCCACTGTGCCCGGCCTGTGTTTGATTTTATATCTCTATCTCCTGAAATATGGCCAGACTCAGAGAAGGAAGTTCTAAACATTTGCTGAAGGAATTAGAATTAGTGAACCAAAGAAAGAAACTATAGGGCTTGATGCTTCTAACCAAGTCCCTCCCCTGGAGAATGTCTCTTTCCTTGGTATCAGTTACATGTCCCAATCTTGATGCACTGCCCATTTCTGTGGCTGCTCCACTGCCTTGACTTCTGTCTTCTGCCCATAATCACTGGCATTTCTCAAAGGTTAAACATCAGCTTCTCTGGCTCTTCTCACTGTTACAGAGTTCCTCTCTCTCCAAGCTCACTCCAGAGGCTCCCCTGCCAGACTCATTGCTCACGTGAACTTGGGTGGTAATTCTGATGCTACTGGACATCCCAATTGAACATCCTCCCATCACTGCAGATGTCCAAAACCAACTCATCGTGCCTTTGCCAAGAGCAGCAGCCTTTCTAAGCCTTCATGCCTCTTATTAGAACTAAATATGGCAGGAAATTTTTTATTTATTTATTTATTTTTTGAGATGGAGTCTCGTACTGTCACCCAGGCTGGAGTGCAGTGGTGCGATCTCGGCTCACTGCAACCTCTGCCTCCTGGGTTCAAGCAATTCTCCTGCCTCAGCCTCCAGAGTAGCTGGGACTACAGGCGCCCGCCACCACGCCCAGCTAATTTTTGTATTTTTTTTTTTTTTTTTTTTAGTAGAGATGCGGTTTCACCATATTGGCCAGGCTGGTCTCGAACTCCTGACCTTGTGATCTGCCTGCCGTGGCCTCCCAAAGTGCTGGGATTACAGGCATGAGCCACCGCGCCCAGCCAGGAAAATATTTTTTTAAGTATGAAGTACACTTTTATTCTCATATTTTTTTAAACACACAGTCCTTGTCCTACTAAAACAAAATCAGGAGGCTAAGACATTCAGGACTTGCCTCTGTGCCTCTGGCACAGCTGAAATGTAAATAGGAAGCAAAGAATCAACTTGTGAGTTATTGAAATCCATGGCAAAAACAGTCTTGAAAGCCAGAATTCTGGTTTGAAAGAGCCTGTCTTTTTAACACAGAATAGGGCTCTGAGTTCTTCAAGCACGGTTTGGTGCATGGAAAACAAAGCCTGAGGAATGGGGCTTCAACTCCAGCCAGAGTGGCTTCTCCTTTTTCCTTTAAATGCATCTCTATCACATAGGCTCAGCCCCTTCCCCACCTTCACTTCTTCTCTCCTGCCCTGCTCCAGGCTGAGCCCTCACCACCCAAGCCTGGACTATTGTAACAACTCCTTACCCAGCACCTTGGCTCTGTTTCATGCCTCCTCCATCCATCTTACACAGTCTACCACAGCGATCTTTCTAAAATCCTATCTCACACACCTCCAATGTCTCCTCTTTGCCTGCTAGAAACAATTCATATCAATTCAATAAATACTTACTGAACACCTACTAGATACTAGATGTTGCGCTAGACTGGTGTCAACCAACAACAACCCCTAGGCCGAATCAGGCCCACCACCTGTTTTTATAAATAAAGTTTTATTGCCAGTCCTGGTGGCTCATGCCTGTAATCCCAGCATTTCAGGAGGCTGAGGTGGGAGGATCACTTGAGCCCAGGAGTTCAAGACCAGCCTGGGCAATATCGTGAGACCTCATCTCTAAAAATAAAAAAATTAGAAAATGAGTCAGGAGGAGCACTTGAGCCCAGGAGGCTGAGGCTGCAATGAGCCGTGATGGCAGCACTGCACTCCTGCCTGGGTGACAGTGTGAGACCCTGCCTCAAAAATAAATACATACATAAATAATGTTTAATTGGAATTCAGTTACACTTTTTCATTTACATATTTATTTACATATCATTGTCTATGGAGGTTTTCATGCCAAGAGGGCAAAAATAGTTGTCACAAAGGCAGTGCAGTCCAAAAGTCTCAAATATTTACTACCAGGCCCTTTGTAGAAAAAGTTTACCAACCCATGTGCTAGAACCCAGGGCTACCATAGTGTGGTTCCCTGCTATCACAGAGCTTCTAGAGCAAGGCCTTCCACCATCTAACCTTGCCCTTCTGCCCTTTCTCCTGTCACTCTCCATGAGTCCTCTGAGAGTCCAATGGTTCCTAGATTTTTGGAATTTATGAATCAGTAAAACTTTTTTTCAACTACACAGGATGTACATAGGGTTGTCAAGTGGGTACTGTTCAAAAACCAACTACCATCTAACATCACCATTGTTTTCTAGAGAGAAAGAATCAACATTAAAAAGTTGCAAAAATATTCCTTATCTAAAAATAAAGAACATTTCCTCAAGTGACATTAGGTTTATGAGATTGATTCTCCTGGCTGTGTTTTTCCATTTTTGCTGTGGAATGATAGCATTCTTCAGTCACCACAGGTCTGCAGTCAGGCACAGAGGAATCTTTGATCTAGTCTCGGCTGACTGGTTTACTTTTTACTCCTCAAATTTTCTGTGGATCTTCCCGTGAGATTTGACATCCAGAAAGCTCTTCCTCCTTCTTTCCTGCTCGCTGTGCAGAGCCCAGCTCATCAGCAGCAGGAGTGCAGGGTTCCTCCCGCAGCACCCTAAATGCAGGCTGTTCAAAGGCACATCCGGGCTGTCAGCAAAACGGCTGAGTGATGCGACTGTGGGTGTCTCTGTCAGCTGCAGAGCAGGATGACAGGATGGCCCAGAAGGCTGCCTGGCGTGTGGCCCTTCCTCTGGCACAGGCAGGTGAACCTGCTGACACCGTCACGCTGACAGCTCCGTGGCACAGATTCCACCCGAATACCGGATTCAGTGAGCACCGGCTCCTGCCAAGTCTCTCACATGACCCAGAGGCCACGAGGGCCTGGGCGGCCGCGGCCAGCTCCCAATCAGCAGACGGTGTCGACAGGCACTGAGCGAGGTCGCCTTACTGGCAGGCAGCCCCAAGATACTGGGTCCTCACTGCTCACATGAAGCTTCTGGAATCCCCTCTTACGGTCCCCAGACCTGCGGGAAATAAATCATGGCTGCACCGGGAAGGTAACCCCAGCAAGGCCTGGCCCCGATATCTGGCTTTCGTTTGGGGACACGCACTTTCCAAAAGCTCCTGCTTACCCAACACCTCCTCCTCCCCTGCTGCGTGTTGGGGGAGGGGAATGTGCTTATGACCACTTGTAAAATTCACCACTGTGGGTGACAGATGACATTAAACACCATTTTTCTTTTTTATTTTTCACAAGTGGAGCAGGAGCTGCATTTTTCTAACAGTTTTCCATATCAGAAGTTGAGAATTTCATTATCCTTCCGAGCTGGTCTATAGCAAAGTTGTTTCACTTCTCAATTGTTCCCATTTAACCCATTTGTGAGACACAGGCTGGGGGTGGGGCGCAGGGGGAGGTGGCAGAGTTAAATTTCCAAGGGAAAACTAGAAACCCTGAATCAAAACTGGGAGGAAGTTTCAAGATCACCTGGCTCAAACAGCTCATACTTCTGAGGGAAACTGAGTCAAGGAGGGGCAAGAGCTCAAGACTCCACTGGTAGAACTGAAACAAGAAATAAGATCTCCTTGGTTAATCTAAACCTCTTTCAACTATAGTCTGAAAAGTCCAGCATATCATTTCCTAAAATCCAGAATGAAGGTAATTTTCCTTCTAGAAAACGAGGGTGTAGGTACTAGCTCAGCTTAGGATTCGGTGAGGAAGGGGCACTGTGGTGAAGAGGGAAGACGTGGAATCCAGCAGATAGTTACATGAAATACACGTACCCCTCACAGTAACACTTCTATTAAAGGCTGAAGAAATAGAGCTCCCACATTTTAAGTAATGACACCATAAAATTTGTTCCCTAAACACCATCACATTCAGCCCAGATGGGGAAGCCAAGGCTCAGGGAAGGGACAGGAGCTGAGTGAAGGTCACACACAGTCTGGTGAAGGGTGGGATTAGGGGCTAGGCCTCAGAAGTCTGAGCCAGCTCTCTCCCTGGCGCTGGGTCAGACCATCAGCAATCCCCGTCCTGAGGCTGATGGCCAGCCTTCAACTTAGGACCTCGTCTCAGCTTTCCCCACTGAGAGTCAGCTGTTCTTTCAGGCCATTTTGGTGCCAGGCTGATATTGCATTCCTCTCCTTGGCCCCAGAGCCAGGGACATGCTCACTGCTTGGGCTGGTAAGGGGACCCTTCCCACTGCCTGAGCCATTCTTCGCAGAATGATTTCTGTGTAGTAACTCAGAGGACAGCTGGTTTGAGGGCTGGCAGGCGAGGCTTTGAGTCAGGCCTGGCTAGTTGGTGAGGATCACCTGCCTTCCAGGAGGGCTTGGGTTTTACTGCCGTCTTGCCACGTGCCATAGGAGGACATGCTGAACTCTCCCCATGACTTAAGGGCAGGGCTCAGGCTGCCTGGGGAAGGCAGGGAGAGAACCTGAGAGCAATCCAGGCAGCGTCCCTTTCCTGGGGGTGTCATCAGGGCATGTAGCATGGAGGCAGCAGTGCCAGCTCCTGTCCTCAGGCAAAGGGGAACAGGCAGTCTTGGCCTTGGAACTCCCAGTTCCAGACCCACTTCCAGCAGGTGCTGGCTAGTGAGGCCTGTCTAGAAAAGCAGCAGACCAACTTGGCACCAGGCGAAGTTGTGGGAGATGCTCTTCCCCACAGAAAGAGTCAAAGCGTCAGAAAGTAACACCCTGCCATGACCCAGATCCCCCAGCTTCAGGGGCCGAAGAACCCCAAAGATCTTCTCACCCACACTCCTCATGGCACAGGAGAGAAAATGGAGGCACCGAGAGAGGAAAGCGCTTGCCCAAGGTCACACAAAAACTTAGAGCAGGGCTGAAATCCAGTCCCGCTGTCTGATCCAGTTCTTAACCCACAAAATGCTTTCAAAGCGTAGAGTGATACACCTCACTCAGAAGCCCAAAGTCCCATGAGGAGAACATCTCTAGGAGCCACCAGGTGCCCCTAGCAGGATGAAAAATAAGAGCAGTTGCCTTTTTTTTTTTTTTTTTTTTTTTTTTTGAGACAGAGTCTCGTTCCATCACCCAGGCTGGAGGGCAGTGGTGCAAACTCAGTGCAACCTCCACCTCCCTGGTTCAAGTTATTCTCATGCCTCAGCCTCCCAAGTAGCTGGGATTACAGGCGTGCACCACCACACCCAGCTAATTTTTGTGTGTGTGTGTATTTTTGCAATATAAATGTGGGTTTTCACCATGTTGGCCAGGTTGGTCTCAAACTCCTGACCTTAAGTGATCTGCCTGGCTTGGCCTCCCAAAGTGCTGGGATTACAGGAATGAGCCCCTGCACCTGGCCAAGGGCAGCTGCCCTTTACAGAGCCACATTACACAAAGCACTTATGCATCACCTTTTTACTTTCAAAAATCCTATAAGGTAGTGCAATTACTATCATCAGCTTATGTGAAAATAAACCCAAAAGCCCTACTGGAGCCTCGCTAGCCATTCCTTGTTCTTGTTTTCCCTTGGCTCTGTCAAAACCAACCAAGGGGCTGGCAAAGCTGGCCATTTCTAGAAGATCCTTGGAGCAGGAGGTAAAAGGGCTATAAACAGAATTCCAGGTAACCAAAGTCTAGAGGGCCAGAATATGGACTCTGCAAAACACCATGTCCAAACACATAAGGGGAACGGTCTGTAAATGTCCAACACTCTCCCTACAAGTGGCTCACTCCGTGACCAGCACAGGGCCAGGTGGATTGATCTGAACAGGAGCCTCCCAGAGAAGCAGGCCCACGGTAACCCTGCCCCTCAATTTCTGTTCCATCTCACTGCTGACTCCTCCTCCTTCTCCTCCTCCTCCTGCCCCTCCACTCTCCTCCTGACAGCCAGTTGCGCATCTATTCAAAGAAGCCACAATCAGAGCCCCTCCAGTCTTTCTGCCTGCCAACCCAGCAACACCCTGTGAGGTGTGTGCCTCCCTGTCACTCAGCCTCAGCTGATGGACAAATGGGAGTACATCTGGAAGAGGTGGCCCAATAGGGAGGGTCCTGGACTTCAAGTCCCTGGAAAAGCAGCTGAGAAGCTTGAAGGCACTGGGGTCATTCAGCCTGAGAAGAAACTCAGGGGAATGCTGTCAATATCACCACATCCCTGGAGGGTTGTTAGGAGTGGAGAGGGCAGATTCACCCTGTGGGGCTCCAGAGGACAGAGGTAGGAGGGGGCAGGGTGGACACGACGGGCAGATTTTAATTCAAAATAAGGAAAGCTCCTTCTTGGGCAGAAGTATCCCAAGACAGCCCAGGATACGTCAGAACAAATGATGAGTACATTATGCTCAGGGCCAGGAAGCTCAGACTGGAGCCCCAACTCCTACCTGTGCCATATTGAGCAAGTTACTCAGTGTTCGTCATCCTACAATGGATAGAGTGATGTGTTTCTCACATATTCACTTGGAACTCCTTATAGCACCTCCAAAGGCAAACCTGAAATTCTGCAAAAGAAAAGAGTGCAAAGACCTCAGCTCCCACTTGTCCCAGTTTCAACCTTACCCATGTACAGAGATCATGATCTCAGCCATGGTAGTCACAAACAGAGCTTACAAGGGCAGCGGGTACAGAGAAAAGAGTTCTGGTCAGGAGCCAGACTAGCCTTGGCTCAAGTCCCAGCTCTGCCTCTTACCATCTTCATCTTTATCAAGATACCTTGCCTCTCTGAGCCTCAGTTTTCTTGTCTGTAAAATGAATCTGCAAGCCCCTGCCCAACCTCCTCATAGGGTTGTGACAAGGATCAAATGAGGGAGAAGAACAAGCACCTTGGAGGCCATAAGCACTTTTACCTTATCCTTATGGCAAGGATATGCTGAGGATTTCCAACTGTAATTATTTTTACCCCAGGAAGAACATGAGTAACACAATTGCATTCCATAACAAAGGTCTATTCAACAAATGTTCACTGGACACTTACTGTGAGCCAAAAACTGTGCCAGATTCTAGAGGTGCAAGCATATATAAGACAAAATTCTGTGTCCTCTGAGACTCACTGGAAAGACAACCAGTAAATTATTCAGTAAAGCAGAATGTGGTACACAGAGGTGTGTACAAGTTACAGTGAAAGCACAGAGGAGAGTGACTAGGGCTGGAGGAGGCAAGGATGGGGGCATCAAAGGAGGCAGCATTCAAAGAGAGTCTATAAGAATGAAGAGGAACATTTACAAACCTAATAATAGACTGTTGAAATGCATGAGCCAAAATGGACACAATGGAAGGGAGAAATAATACAATAACAGTCAGAAACTTCAATATCCCACTCTCAGTAATGGATAGAACAACCAGACAGAAAACAGGTGAGGAACTAAAGGGCTTGAACAACCCAAGAAAACAACTAGATCTAACAGACATACGCAGACCACTCCACTCAACAACAGAATACACATTCTTCTTATGCACACATGGGACATTCTCCAGGATAGACCATATGTTAGGCCACAAATTAAGTCACAATAGCCAACAGAGATGGAATCAACCAGAGTGTCCATCAATGGATGGATACATAAACAAAATGTGGTATTTACATTCAATGGAATGTTATTAAGCTTTAAAAAAGGAAGGAAGTTCTGACATGCAACAGCATGGATGAACTTCTAAGACTTGCTAAGTGAAAAAGTTACAAAAAGATAAATACTGTAAGATTCCACTCATACAAGTAACTTAAGGTAGTCAAATTCATAGAGACAGAAAGTAGAATGGTAGTTGCCATGGGGTGGGGAGGGATGGAGGACTAGGGGGTTATTGCTTAGGGGGTACGGAGCTGTAGTTTTGAAAGATAAGTTCTGTGGATGGATAGTGGTGAAGGTTGCACAGCGATCTGAATGTACTTAACGCCACTGGACTGAACACTCAAAAATGATTCAAATGTTAAATTTGATGTTACGTTAATTTTACCACAATTTTTTTAAATAAATACTTTTTTAAAGAAAAGAATGAGGAGAGAGTGTTCCAAGCAGTCCAGATTGGGAAGAAAAATCTAGACAAGAGAAACAGCTTATGCAAAAGCACAGAGATACAAAAGTGACTAGTGTTCTCTGGAAACAACAAAGGCATCCCCATTGTGTAAGACACACAGCGTGGCCACAGTGGGCTGGAAAAGTTCCCTGAATACCCTGCTAGGAAGTTTGGATGCCACTCTGTGGGCTCTAGGGGAATGGCATGGTCACAGCTGTGGCTTAGAACAATCCAACTAGGAGGAGAATGGGGAGGGTGGGTGGCACGAGGAGACACACAGAGCACGATACCACCTCTAGACAGACGTGAAGAGGGAAACCGCCTTCCAGACGGCCCAGCCAACCAGCCCTGTGGCCACCATCCCAGTGCTGCGGTGAGTGACTCAAGCTACTTGCCTCGAGGGGCGATCCACTGAAGGCAAGAGGGATTCCCCTGGAAACTTTGATTCTGCTGAGAGAGAAAGACTGAAACCAAAAGCAGGTGCGTTGGTGGGGCCTTGGGCGTGAAGTGCCTTTCTGCCGTGTCATTCTCCCCACACGGGGCCATCTGTTTGGGTGAGCCCCAAAGCCGATGGGGCCTTGTCTCCCCTGCAGGCCCACCCTGTGGTTTTCACCAACTGCAGGGAGGCAAGGTGGCTGCTCGAATGTGCATCCAGGCAGGAGGAGGGGGTGAGGGCCTCTGGAAAGTCTCTGAATCAAGTAAATGTGGGAAATCCCAGCTCTGTGACTTAGAAACAGGTGACCTTGGGCACTCCCAGGTCCCTATGTGGGCCTCAGTTTGCCTTTCTTAATGTGAGGAGCGTACGAATAGAGTTATAGGCTTAACTCCTAACAAGAAGTTAGACCTATTCTCCTGTTGCTTTGCCCCTCCTGTAAAAGGAGTTAGACCTACAACTCTGTTGGTACGCCCCTCCTCTGTGAAATGGAGGAGTTAGACCTGTAACTCTGTTAGTATGCCCCTGACATTAAGAAAGGCAAGAGGTTATAGACATTAATTACTACACTCATTTAAGTAATTAGACAAGCAAGCATATACACACAGACACATACAGAGACACAAACAGACACACAAGCACACACACAGAGACCACAGAGAGTCCAGAGGACAGGTGATATGGTTTGGATCTGTGTCACCACCCAAATCTCATGTCAAATGATAATCCCCAGTGTTGGAGGTGGGGCCTGGTGGGAGGTGATTGGGTCATGGAGGTGGATGCTACATGAATGGTTAATTAGCACCATGCTCATGGTGCTGTTCTCGTGATAGAGTTCTCACAAGATTTGGTTGTTTGAAAGCGTGCAGCACCTCCCTCCTCTCTCTCTCAGTCCTGCTCCTGCCATGTAAGATGCTTACTCCCACTTTGCCTTCCTCCATGAGTAAAAGCTCCCTGAGGCCCCCCAGAAGCAGATGCTGCCATGCTTCCTGTACAGCCTACAGAACCATTAGCCCATTAAACCTTTTTTCTTATAAATTACCCAGTCTCAGGTATTTCTTTTTTTGTTTGTTTGTTTTGTTTTGTTTGTTTGTTTTTTGAGACAGAGTCTCGCTCTGTCTCCCAAGCTGGAGTGCAGTGGTGCAATCTTGGCTCACTGCAAGCTCCGCCTCCTGGGTTCACACCATTCTCCTGCCTCAGCCTCCTGAGTAGCTGGGACTACAGGCGCCCATCACTACGCCCGGCTAATTTTTTGTATTTTTAGTAGAGATGGGGTTTCACCGTATCAGCCAGGATGGTCTTGATCTCCTGACCTCGTGATCTGCCTGCCTTGGCCTCCCAAAGTGCTGTGATTACAGGCATGAGCCACCACGCCAGGCAGGTATTTCTTTATAGCAGTACAAGAACAGACTAATACAACAGGCAAAGCATTCTCTTTTTTAAAATTGTTATTTTAGGTTCGGGGTATATGTGCAAGTTTGGTATATAGGTAAATTGCGTGCCACGGGGTTTTGTGCACAAATTATTTCATCACCCAGGTAATAAGCATAGTTTTCTGATCCTCATCCTCCTCCCACCCTCCACTCTCCGTCGCCTTGACTCTTAATAGTGGTCTATTTCATCTCACTTTGGCAACCTTAAGTGAGTATCTCCTCTGTGGGCTCCCTTCTCTCTCTCCCTCTTTCCAGCTCCCTTGGTTATTAACCCTTCTGCCTGCTTTCCGGGGTCCATATTTTCTTCCTCTTAGGAGTAGAGGGAGCACTCCAAGGGGCTTTGCAAACTGTGGATGGAAGGAGGAAAATGAAGACAAATCCTTCCCCACCTAACCTCAGGGTAAAAAAAAAAAAAAATCTACCAAAAAAACACACATCTTTGAGTAAAATTAGCTGCCTTTTAGCTAAAACTGGTGTGCTATTCTACTCAAAGCATCACTTGGTTTTTCCAAAGGAAGCGAGCCAAGTACAAAAATATGTATCCTCAAAGAAGAATTTGTTGAAAATTAGATTGTCAAAAGTCAATTTGCCAGAAATGTCAATTTGCCAAACGATTCACTGCATCACTGAGAATGTTTTTAACTTGATGTTGTAGTTTCACCACCATGAAAGCAAAATCACTCATGTCCTAGGTGGGCAGGCTAGCCACAAGATAATGCAGCCCTGCCATCATCACCCATTGCATTAAAGAACTGCCCTGGGGGTTGTCTTCATTACAGCCAATATCTATAATCCAGGTTTGGGATTGACAAACTTTTTTTTTGGCGGGGGGGATGGAGTCTTGCTCTGTTGCCCAGGCTGGAGTACAGTGGTATGATCTCGGCTCACTGCAACTTCTGCCTCCCGGGTTCAAGTGATTCTCCTGCCTCAGCCTCCCAAGTAGTTGAGATTACAGGCGCCCGCAACCATGCCCATGCTAATTTTTGTATTTTTAGCAGCGACTGGGTTCCACCATGTTGGTCAGGCTGGTCTTGAACTCCTGACCTCGTGATCTGCCCACCTCAGCCTCCCAAAGTGCTGGGATGACAGGCGTGAGCCACCATGCCCAGCCGACAAACTTTTTTTTATAAAGGATCAGATAGTAAATGTCTTAAGTTTTTCAGATCATACTGCCTCTGCCACAACTGCTCAACTCTCAACTCTGGCACTGTAGCAGGAAAGCAGTCCTACACCATATGAGCATGAATGAACATGGCTCGGTTCCAATAAAACTTTACTTACAAAAACAGACAGTGGCTGCCATTTGGTTCACAGACCATAGTTTATCGACCCCTAATTTAGACTAACACATTTGCCAATACTAATTTGAGAAGAAATAGAAGACCCTATTAGTGTTATACCTGAAGAAGAACTTGAATTAATAGTTTTAAATTTTTCTCACAGAGAAATTATAGGCCCCAGATGGTTTTTACAGGTGGATCCTCTAAACTTTAATAAAACAGATAATTCTAGTTATATATAAATTCTTCCATGCAAGAAATAAAAATGAAATTCTTTAACTTGTTTTGTAAAGCTAATATAGTGTAGATAACACAACCAGCCAAGGATGATATGAGGGGAAAATATACAAACCCCCACCTCAAAAACATACACAAACATAAGAATTTAAAAATAGATACATAGAAAAAAAAAAACAGCCAGAAAATGGACATAGTTAAGCAGTGTATAGAAAGAAATACACCATGATTAAGGAAAAGAGACAGGATAATCCTCTGTCTTTTCTTTTCCATAAAAAATGGGATGCTTTAACACTAGGAATCTATTGATGTAACTAAGAAATTAAAGGGAGAAAATTACATAGTCAATCAATAGATGCAGAAAAAGAAACTTAATGAAGTCAGTCATGAATGGATATTGGTAAATAGTTTTTGCAACATATTTGGCAAACTGGTAATAGCAGGTAACCTTCTTAACCTGATAAGAAGATAGCTACCAAAAAACCTACCACACGTATCATATTTAAAAATGCAAACTTTATGATCTCTTTAAAAATCAAGAATAAGAAAATAACCCTGAATTCAACTCCTATTCAACATTATACTAGAAATAGAAATAAGAAGTTTAGGGATAGAAAGTGAAAAACAAAACTCATTATTTCTAAACAATGTTATCTTCAAAGAAAATCCAAGAGAATATATACAGCATTTAGAACTAGTAAGAGTAATATCATATCATATCATTGTAGTAATATTATACAATAAAATAGTATATAGCAGAAAAAATGAATGAACTCTATCTGTATTATTAATATGGTTAATAGTAATGTAGTTAAATCTCAGGGTTAGGTAGAAAAAAAGAAAATTGAAAAAGGATACGAGCAGTATAATGCTGCTTATGAAATTTCTTTAAGACACAATACAATACCATATATTTTTGTTTACTCTTGTAAAAACACAGAAATAATTGGGACAGAGAAGTTGCTTTCTAACTTGAGAATTACTTCTGGAAAGACAGAGAGGGGAATGGAGATGCATTTCGGCTTCACCTTTATCTGTAGTTTTACTTTCTTTCCAAAAGGATCTAAGGCAACTGTTAACATTTCTTCAATCTGGTGGTGGGTATATTTGTCCATATGACATTATTCTTCTTAATTTTCTGTAAGCTTGAAATCTTTCCTAATTAAAACCACTTTTAATAGAAAAGAAAAGGAGCCATGATGAAAACTGTCAGGTCTTTGAGTAGGTTCTGGCTGCTCCTGTGAGTACAGGAAAACACTGAGGTCATCCTGCCCACACTAGGGTGACACAAGCCTCTAGACCCTGAATTCTTGAGATCACTGTGGCTTCCTGCTCTGCCACCCCACTGAGAGCTACCCTACTCTGCAGGTTCCTTGGAAGGATAAGTTTCTCTTGGGGCAGTGGACACTGTTAGAAATGAAGGCAGTCCATTCCATAGACCCCTTTCCATGGACAGGGGTCACTGTTAGAAATGAAGGCAGCTCATTCCATGGACCCCTTTCCATGGGCAGGGGTCACTGTTAGAAATGAAGGCAGCCCATTCCATAGACCCCTTTCCATGGACAGGGGTCACTGTTAGAAATGAAGGCAGCTCATTCCATGGACCCCTTTCTATGGGCAGGGGTCACTGTTAGAAATGAAGGCATTCCATTCCATAGACCCCTTTCCATGGGCAGGGGTCACTGTTAGAAATGAAGGCAGCTCATTCCATGGACCCCTTTCTATGGGCAGGGGTCACTGTTAGAAATGAAGACAGTCCATTCCACAGACCCTTTTCATGGGCAGGGGTCACTCTTAGAAATGAAGGCAGTCCATTCCACAGACCCTTTTCATGGGCAGAGGTCACTCTTAGAAATGAAGGCAGTCCATTCCATAGACCCCTTCCGTGGGCAGGGGTCACTCTTAGAAATGAAGGCAGTCCATTCCATAGACCCCTTCCGTGGGCAGGGGTCACTCTTAGAAATGAAGGCAGTCCATTCCATAGACCCCTTCTGTGGGCAGGGCTCACTCTTAGAAATGAAGGCAGTCCATTCCATAGACCCTTTCCATGGGCAGGGGTCACTATTAGAAATGAAGTCAGTTCATTCCATGCATGACCCCATCCTATGAACGTGATCTTCCATTTCCCATCTGGTATCATCTGAAGCTCAGTTTAAAATTATCTTCTATAAAACTGTCATAAGAAATTTAAGACAAACAGATTTGTTTATCCTTGGGCTGAACTGCAGGCACATATAATCAAGATGGGCATTGTCCTCTTAATCCCTTCATTTGAAGGCCAAGAAGAGTTATATCTTTAGGAGAAATTATGTTCCTCTTTGACTTCTACTATGGCTCAAGCCTTCAAACCTTCAACTACCTTTTCTAAAATACTATGAATTTGAGGCTGAGGCAGTGAAAGTACACAATGAGCTCAGCACTCGTTTTTGTAGCCCAAAGTAAGAATATGCTCAAAGAATCATGGGAACATGCCAGAAAGTCACAGGAGCCAGCATAAAGGGGTTTCCAAGTGATCATCAAAACCCATGGAATAAATCAGGTTCCATGAGACTCTAGTCACATAAATTAATAAATGAAAACATAAATAGGTGGAAGAGAGAGAAAGTTCTCCTTTGTAATAGAATGATGACTACTGAATATCAAAAGAATGAAAAAAACAAATACCACAGAATTGGAATATCAAGGAAAAGAGCTGTGAAAGCATGGAAGGCAGAGAGTGATGGGACCCGGTGTGCATGCTGATTGAGGAACAAATATATATCCCTGCTCACAGAAAAAGAGCCTACTTTCCCAACTCTGCCTCTTCTTCCCACCTCCTGAAAAGCCCATTTTCTTATTGACTCCTCTGAGATTCAAAAGGCTCTTCTCTCTTAATGGTGTTTTCACTTGCCCCCAAATACCCAAAGAGTAGTACCAGTGTACCCCAATGTAAACAAAAAATCAATGGCTGGACCTCCCCTTCAGGGAGAGGAAGGAACATGGAAATGTGGGCTTCATATTTACCTAGACCGAGAAATGGAAACGGGCTTCGTGACTTTCTTGATGTGTGACCTTGAAAAGCCCACATTCTTTATGCTCCGATTATCTCATCTGTACAACTGGGATTAAAATTATTTCTCTACTTCACTGAATGGCGATCCAATTATTCACCATGTGACAAGGTGCCTGTAAACCACAATGACAGCAGACACGGAAGGTGTTATAGAATTAACAGAGATTCTGAAGAAAGGGCTGGGGAGAGACAGTGTGGTCCACCTGCCCGCAGGCCAAGGTCAAAATCATTATTCTTGACATTTGAATAATACACTGAACCCTTTTGAAAAATAAAAGTCAGACAGCAAGCACTGACTTAAATTACTTTTATTATAATGCTTCTTCTATATGAAGAAACATAGAGCTAGGTTTTTTTTATTTTTTATTTTTTTTTAGAAATAAACTTTTTTTTATTATTATACTTTAAGTTTTAGGGTACATATGCACAATGTGCAGGTTAGTTACATATGTATACATGTGCCATGCTGGTGTGCTGCACCCATTAACTTGTCATTTACATTAGGTATATCACCTAATGCTATCCCTCCCTCCTCCCCCCACCCCACAACAGTCCCCAGAGTGTGATGTTCCCCTTCCTGTGTCCATGTGTTCTCATTGGTCAATTCCCACCTATGAGTGAGAATATGCGGTGTTTGGTTTTTTGTTCTTGCGATAGTTTACTGAGAATGATGATTTCCAATTTCATCCATGTCCCTACAAAGGACATGAACTCATCATTTTTTATGGCTGCATAGTATTCCATGGTGTATATGTGCCACATTTTCTTAATCCAGTCTATCATTGTTGGACATTTGGGTTGGTTCCAAGTCTTTGCTATTGTGAATAGTGACGCAATAAACATACGTGTGCATGTGTCTTTATAGCAGCATGATTTATAGTCCTTTGGGTATATACCCAGTAATGGGATGGCTGGGTCAAATGGTATTTCTAGTTCTAGATCCCTGAGGAATCGCCACACTGACTTCCACAAAGGTTGAACTAGTTTACAGTCCCACCAACAGTGTAAAAGTGTTCCTATTTCTCCACATCCTCTCCAGCACCTGTTGTTTCCTGACTTTTTAATGATTGCCATTCTAACTGGTGTGAGATGGTGTCTCATTGTGGTTTTGATTTGCATTTCTCTGATGGCCAGTGATGGTGAGCATTTTTTCATGTGTTTTTTGGCTGCACAAATGTCTTCTTTTGAGAAGTGTCTGTTCATGTCCTTTGCCCACTTTTTGATGGGGTTGAGAGCTAGGTTTTGACTTCTTATGCTGTGAGAGCATCTTTTAAAGAAGAATGTGAATAATGGCGTCTAGGAACCTCTGGATTGAGGGCCTGAGAAAAACAGTGGAAGTGGAAGAGCAGCCTCTTGAAAGGGAATGTCCAACCTCTTCCTCTTTTTCCTGTTTCCCACAGAAAATTTAACTAGCTGTGTTCAGACCGACATGATGCAAAAAAAAAAAAAAAAGTTCCCATCCTGGCTTACATGGTGAAACCCCGTCTCTACTAAAAATATTTTAAAAATTAGCCGGGCGTAGTGACGGGCGCCTGTAGTCCCAGCTACTTAGGAGGCTGAGGCAGGGGAATGGCGTGAACCCGGGAGGCGGAGCTTGCAGTGAGCGGAGATCACGACACGGCACTCAAGCCTGGGCGACAGAGCGAGACTACGTCTCGAAAAAACAAAAAAAAGTTTTTGATTTTTGAAAAAAATCAACTGTGTGCTTGCTTCTTCAAAAAGAAGACTATACCAGGGCAGAAGATATTCCTATAAATACTTATGATTGACATCTGTAAATATTTATAGTATTAACTTTTTGTGGACACACAGTAGGGTGGGGCGGGGGTACTGGCATCCAGGGGAAGGGTAGATGTTTTCGTTGTTTCTATCCTGTAAGGACTGTCTGATGGCTACAAGTGTTAACGAAAAGCCAAACTGTATTGATCACATTTAAAAGCTCTCTCTCCAGAGTGGGCTATGCCACACTGCAGTATATTTATACAACGGAATACTCTATAGCTATTAAAATGAATAAAACATAGCTACATGGTACAACAGGGGTGAATCTCACAAACAAAGCAAAAAATGCAAGTCACGAAGAAGACATACAGTGTGATTTCATTCATATAAAATTCACAAACAGCTAAGTCCACTCTATCATACTGCGATGCATACATACATCGTAAAATCAAAAAGAAAAGCAAGAAAATGATTCTCACAAAAGGGAGGCTGGTGATGACCTGGGGAGGGGACACTGGGAGGTTAGGGGTGCTTGCAAAGCTCCCTTTCCTGGCCTGAGTGGTGGTTACACAGGGGTTTCCTTAATTATAATGTAATTTGTGTAATTACAATGCATTAAGATGTATTTTTTAAAAACATTTTCTCTTCGTATAGATCACATTACTCAAAAAAACGAGGAAAGCTGAAGCAAATATGACAATATTAACTAATCTCAATACCTGAATATCTGAATTAATTCAATTAATGAATTAATTGAATATCTCAAACTCTGCTGGGTCTATATCATTAATTATTATACTGCTATATGAAAAAAGCCAGGCCAAAAAAAAGATTACATACATTATATATGGAATTTGATATTCCATTTGTATAAATTTCCAGAAAATGCAACCTAACCTAGAGTGGGAGAAAGCAGACCAGTGGGTGCCCGGGGGCAGGGCTTTCAAAGGAGCCCAGGGAAACTGTTGGGGATGATAGATACGTTGATTATAATGATGGTTTTGCAGTGTATACTTTCATTAAAATGTATCAAGTTATACTCTTTAAATATGTGCAGTTTATTCTATGTCAGCTATACATCAACAAAGCAGTTAAAAAAAAACTCCCCTGTGCCTTTTCATATGTTTCTCATAGTCTTCAGTATGCATATACCGCTTTGGAAATGAGGAAGATACTTTTAAATGGTCAGAGAAACCTAAGTACCTTGAAGCTGTCTACCAGAGTTGTATGTATGCTTGTGGTCAGTCATGGGTTTCAATTATGTCAATGTATTTCTGTTCTGCTTTTGATAGAAAAAAGACCTCCACGCTCTTCCCTTCTGTCTTTTCTCCTCTCTCCCCTCTTTCTTTTCCCCTCTTCTCTCTGTCCCTCTCTCTCTCCCTCCCTTCCTTCTTCCCAGTCTCCCTTCCCCTTCTCTCTCCTTCTCCCCTTCTCCTCACTCTATTTCCTTTCTCTCTGTCCCTCTCTCTCCTCCCACCCTTCCTTATCAGTCTATTTCCTTTCTCTGTCTTTCTCTCTTTCTCTTTTTCTTTCTCTATCGCTCTTCTTCCCCCTCCTCTCTCTATCTCCCTCTCTCCTTTTCTCTTTGGTTCTCAGTCTTACTCTCTATCAGAAAACACTTTTCTTCAACTGAGCAGGCAGCTTTGGGAGACATGACAACACTCATAATAATGACAAACAATCATTTCTGTCATTTAATAGCATTTTATAGTTCACAACATGATTTCTCATATCTGTCTTCTGATTCTCACAACAATCCTTGGGTATAGTAACAGGAAAATAAAAAGCAACTGTAACCACTTCTGCCTTATAAGGAGGGTGGTAAATTTCACAACAGTGGGAAAGTAAATTTCTTTACTGCCCCTTCCACTTTCAGAGACTGTTAGTGAAGACAGCAGATGAAGGACAGAGACATTTCTTCTGCTCCAGTTCCCCACCCTTCAGCAATGGCATGGCCTCTTAGTTTTAATTAAAAAATGCATCCCTGGCTATGCAAAGATACATCCAGAGCTGAATTGAGGGTTGCGGCAAACACTGCTGTTGGCCTATCCAAAATATATTCTTTAGGGCCCTGACTTTTTGGTGAGCAGAAATGTGTCCCCACTAAAAAATTAGATTTCTTATCCTCCCTTCTAGATAAGAGCGGTCATGTGACTACCTTCAGGCTAATGGAATGAAGAAACTATTGTGTAGGATTGGAAATGCTCCCTAAAAAAGTGGCTGACTCTGTTGGCAGGTCTCTTGTTGACCTTCCTTCTTCCTCTACCCGAAATATGGATGTAATAACTGGTGCTGCGGCAGCCACTCTGCAGGTATGAGGTGGCCTTGATTGAGGACAGTGAGCTTGTGCTAAGTACACCAAAACAGAAACACAAGAGGAGATAAGGACATTAATGAGATGGTAGCATTACCACATCAGCCCTGGAATGCTTCTGTGGTTTGGATGTGTCCCCTCACCTCAAATTCAGGCGTTGCCAATGTAATATATTTAGTGTGGCTTTTTAGAGGTGGTCAGGTTATGAGGGCTTCTTCTTTGTTAGTGGAATTAAGGTCATTTTTAAAAAGCCTTCACACAGCAGGATTTGGCTAGCTTGCTCTTCACCTCTTCTGCCATATGAGCATGCAGCATCCTGCCCTTATAGTGGATGCAGTCTTACCAGACAATGAAACCGAACCTCCTAGTGCCTTGATATTGGACTTCAACACCTCCAGAACTATGAGGAATACACTTCCATTGTTTATACATTACCAGTCTGTGGTATTCTATCATAGCAGCCCAAAATGGACAAGCCAAATGCCTACTTCAAGACTTCTTTTACCTGAGAGAAAAACCTTAGACCTCATTTAAGGCATATTATACAGGTCTCTGTTGGGCCAAAATATAGTTTCTAAATGATAGAGAATTGATGAGCTTAGTGATTCTGTGTTTTGAAGTGAAGAATGGGGAATTTCTGGGATGAACCCTGCAGAAAGGTTCTCTAAAAAGAAGAAGCAACAAGCAACACAGTGATGCAAACTTCTCTTTCCTCAAGTCTTCTATAATGGCAGCTACATGTGTGTAGATGCCTTGTGTGCTTATGAGGGGAAATCAAGGAAAAGGGGTTGCATTTCCTCAACAATGTGGTGTGAGACCAGAACAGCACATGTGAGAAAGCAAATTGATCCATCCATGAAATTAATTCAAAATAAACAGGATCTCACAGGTAGAGAGGACAAGGAAACATTAACATCTATACCCCCCCTCCGACCCTCCTTCCTACCCAGAAAGTCTAGAGAAGCTTGTCTCACTACACTGGGGTGGCTTTTGAACCAATGCCATTTGCATCCCACAGGACAGGTGCTGAAGTTAGCATTGGGATAAGAGGAAGTCAGCTCATTTTATAATGAGGACCAGAAAGGTGAAGGGACAGCTGGATTGAAAGTCAGCTCTTCCAGCTTCTGCACAGCAAAAGAAACTATCATCAGAGTGAACAGGCAACCTACAGAATGGGAGAAAATTTTTGCAATCTACTCATCTGACAAAGGGCTAATATCCAGAATCTACAAAGAACACAAACAAATTTACAAGAAAAAAACCCGTCAAAAAGTGGGCGAAGGATATGAACAGACACTTCTCAAAAGAAGATATTTATGCAGCCAACGGACACATGAAAAAATGCTCATCATCACTGGCCATCGGAGAAATGCAAATCAAAACCACAATGAGATACCATCTCACACCAGTTAGAATGGCGATCATTAAAAAGTCAGGAAACAACAGGTGCTGGAGAGGATGTGGAGAAATAGGAACACTTTTACACTGTTGGTGGGACTGTAAACTAGTTCAACCATTGTGGAAGACAGTGTGGCAATTCCTCAAGGATCTAGAACTAGAAATACCATTTGGCCCGGCCATCCCATTACTGGGTATATACCCAAAGGATTATAAATCATGCTGCTATAAAGACACATGCACACGTATGTTTACTGCAGCACTATTCACAATAGCAAAGACTTGGAACCAATCCAAATGTCCATCAATGATAGACTGGATTAAGAAAATGTGGCACATATACACCATGGAATACTATGCAGCCATAAAAAAGGATGAGTTCATGTCCTTTGTAGGGACTTGGATGAAGCTGGAAACCATCATTCTCAGCAAACTATCACAAGGACAAAAAACCAAACACCGCATGTTCTCACTCATAAGTGGGAATTGAACAATGAGAACACTTGGACACAGAAAGGGGAACATCACACACCGGGGCCTGTCATGGGGTGAAGGGAGGGGGGAGAGATAGCATTAGGAGATATACCTAAGGTAAATGACGAGTTAATGGGTGCAGCACACCAACATGGCACATGTATACATATGTAACAAACCTGCACATTGTGCACATGTACCCTAGAACTTAAAATATAATAAAAAAATAAATAAATAAAAATAAAAAAAAAGAAAGTCAGCTCTTCCGATGTCAAGGTTTGTCTGTTTTTTATAATGCCTTAGTTACACCTGGACTCAAGAGGAAGAGGGAGAGAGGAAAGAGAACAGCCACCTAAGCAACCAGATAGGCCATGTGGGTCCTGGCGGCCAGTGACAACAGCTATCACTGCCAATTCCCTTGTCACAAGCATGTTTACGTGTACACGTTGCCTCCCTCTCATGGAGGTGTGTATATGAAAGCCAGGTACGTATAGGTATTTTAAGGGCTTCTTATTATGGTAGCAAGAGCATGAAGTGTAAAAATCTAGGCTTGAATCCCAGTTCTGCCTTTATTACGTGTATGACCTTGGGCAAATTCCTTCCCCTCTCTGGGCCTCAATTTTGTCATTACTGTCAGGAAGGAATTGGTCAAATTAAGTTCTAAGGTCCAATCCTGCTCTAACCTTCCAGAAGCTTATATAAAATATATCATTAAAGTAAGATAAAATCTTTTAAGTACTGAGGCCTGGCGTAGTGGCTCACGCCTATAATCCTAGCTATTCAGGAAGCTGAGACATAAGAATTGCTTGAACCGGGGAGGCGGAGATTGCAGTGAACCGAGATCGCACCACTGTGCTCCAGTCTGGTCAACAGAGGGAGACTCTGTCTCAAAAAAAAAAAACAAAAAAAAACTACTGAGCACTGAGAATAAACTCAGCTTTTTATAAATAGATGTGGCATAACAATGAGAAGCCATTATTTCACAAATTGCAGTTCTTAGGGGAACAGTACAGATCTATAACTAGATAAGCCACGAATGCACAGTTGCTTATTCCTATACTATCCTTAAATCACTCCATTACTATTTTGATAAATATTACAGCACATTTCTAGGTCTTCACACCTAGGTACCTCGGTACCTGCTTTAAACCTTGAAAATTTCCTTTAAATAAAAATTAAATAGACATAATAAGAATTTAAAATATGTTCTGGTACTGGCTCAATAGCACAAGAGCATGTGACATGAAGCTATTATAGTAACATCAGCAGGGCCATGGGAGGATTTTATTAGACATATCAGATACTTTATTAAACACCCAGAGCCTTCTCATCATAAATGCAGCCAAGCAGCCCGAGTGATGGGGACGAAGCACCTCATGAGCTCTAATCTCTTTATTCTGGTATTTAATAACTATGAATAAGCAGGGATGGATGGTATCGTTTACAAGTCGTCGTGAACCCAGGAAAAGGGTGATTTCAAAGGTTCCTTTGGGGTCGTTGAGGCCTTGTCTATAAAATGTGCCTGGATCATCTGGGTTTCTCTTCATCCGCAGTACCTCGTCTTCCTCTTCATCCGCAGTACCTCGTCTTCAGCTGCACTAGACTCCCAAGAACTAGGTAAAGGGAGACTCTGGAGTCTGGAACCCTCACCTGCAAGTACGTCACTGAGTTAGCCACAAAAGCCTTCTCCAATTGTTCGATCTTGTTCCCTAGCAGCCTACATTATTGTACCTGAATAGGGAATAGGGAAAGGCTTCCTGTTCCCTGCAACTGGAAAGCAGTTTAAATACATCACACATGTACACAGAGCTCTTCCTTGACATTTACAGAATGGCCCAAAGAAGGCAGGGATTCCCCAAGAGCTGTGAGCTGCCCCATCACAAAAGGTCTGCTAGCAAAGTCAAAGGCTGAATAGAGGATTTCATAATCAAATTGGGAGTGGGGAGGGAAGGTTGGCCTACAGGACTTCGGTTTCCTTTTCAGTCCTAAAAGTTGAAGATTCTATGACTGATGTAGGACCAAATGCTACTCAATGTTGATAATATTTGTTATTTAAGGCTTATGTGCCAGGAAACTGTGCTGAATACTTTACTTCAATTCTTTCATTTAACCCTCACATGAAATAAAAGTCAGCCCCGCATCCCTTCTATACGGTTCTATATCTGATTATCCACAGACCAGGGAACTGAGGTTCAGAGGCAGCTGAGCCACGAGATCACATGGCTCATTAAGTGCCAGGCAGGGTCTAAGGCCCGCCCCAGAGCCTGTGCTTTCTACCTTTCAGGGTTGCTTCACCCACACAGGGGCAGAGTTACACAACTGGATTGTAAAGGGAGCTTGCCAGAGCTCCAGCCTGAAATCATTCCTCTACCTCTGGCCACTGTTTGTCAAGGATCTGCACAGGAAAACAGGAGATCCAGGGGTGACAGAGGTGGGAAAATCAAGAGTTTGTGGGCTGCAGGGAGAAGACTCAAAGGTCAAAGCCTTTTAGCTACTGTACAGTGAACGTGAGAAAGATGCTCAGGAGTAGGTTTATCCCCAAGAGGGACATTCCAGGGAAGGGAAATTCTAACCAAAAGTATTCCTTTTTCCTTTGAGTCACAGGCTTAGTTCCTCTGGGGGACCTTGGCCAGGCAGGATGTTTGAGGCTAGAGCCAGCCCTTGTTCCCCCTCTTCACTGTGCAAATCCCTCCTGGCAGAAAGCCACCCTATCTCAAGCCTGGGCTGCTGTTTTTAGAGCCCTCCCTACAATCCGTTCATGGCCTGAGCCCACCTGAGGAGCCAGAGGTTCTCTGGCTATTCACAGATGCTGAGATTAGAGTCAGTAGAAGGTGGAAGACAAATTTAAGAGGTCTGGCTTTCTCTCTCTCTCAAAAGGCAGCCCCCGGCAGTGTTTGTTCTCAGAGCAGCCCTGGGAAGAAGGATGGTCACTTTCCTTTCTCCCAAAGATAACTGAAGAGAAGTAAGAAAGTACCTGTGCTTGAAAGCAAAATGACAACAATTAATCTCTAAGCACAAGGCCTAGCCATTAAATTCTTTGGAGAAACAACTTTAGGAGTTTAACGACAATCAAGAGCATAAAATTGAATTAAGAGAAATAGTAATTAAATCAGGAAAGAAGTTTTTGCAACGGGGATGGTAAAGGAAATTAAAACCAGTAATGTTGAAAAATGTGGTGGGCAGAGCGGGGGGAGGGGGGGCTTGGTGGAGAAGAGCAAAGAGCCAAGCACAAAGCAAACTAGGTTGGGAGATGCAGAATGTATGGCACTCAGAAAAGGAATTTGGAAATTGTTCTCCTTGAAAGACCAGGTGTCTGGCACTTCCAATTTGTGTCTAAATATGCCCAAATCCTAATGGGGACAAGCTTTCTTTCATGAAAATAGAAGCATCCACTTGGATAAAGTATTTTTTTTAAAAGCTGTAGACTTAAGTAGGGTGACCAACAGTCCTGATTTGTCCAGGACTATCTCTGTTTTAGTACTCAAAGTCCCATGTCCCAGGAAACCCCTCAGCCTGGAGAAAACCCCTCAATCCAGGGCAAACCAGAATGGTCACCCTAACTGGGAGGCAGACAGCCCTGGCTCCCCTCTCTGCTATACAGTCAGTAGCTATAGAACTTTGTGTGAGTCACTCCACCTCTGTGGGCAACAGTATTCTCACCTGTAAAAGAGGTTGTCATGAATTCCTCAAAAGAGTACAGAAGTTGCTATATGTCAAGATATCTAGAACAATGTGAATGTTGGAAAAGCTTTCAGTAAAAGTTTGATAAAGGGGAATTGAAGTTAAGAATATTGATAAAGAAAATAAAATATTAGCAAACACAATCCAGTAGCACATTAAAAATAATACATCACGACTTTTTTGGAGGTCCCCACGACCACCACATATTCAATGATTTTCTAGAATGACTCAGGTTTCAATATATAATCGTCCTCACAGTTAAGGATCATTACAGGGAAATGACATGTATTAGTCTGTTTTCATGCTGCTGATAACGACACACCTGAGACTGGGAAGAAAAAGAAGTTTAATGAACTTACAGTTCTGAATGGCTGGGGAGGCCTCACAATCATGGCGGAAGGCAAGGAGGAATAAGTCACGTCTTACATGGATGGCAGCAGGCAAAGAGAGCTTGTTCAGGGAAACTCCTGTTTTTAAAACCATCAGATTTCATGAGACTCATTCACTATCATGAGAACAGTGCAGGAAAGACCTGCCCCCATAATTCAATCACCTCCCACTGGGTTCCTCCCATGACACACAGGAATTGTGGGAGTTACAATTCAAGATAAAATTTGGGTGGGGACACAGCCAAACCATATCAGGACACAACAGAATCACCAGAGGAAAAAGACATGGGTGGAATGGAGAAATCCATGCACAGTCTTCCTATATTCTCTCCCTTCTGTAAGGAACACTGCAAGCAAGTTCCTTTCTCTAGCAACAATCAATGCAATAATGTTTCTGCCAGGAAGCCTGTTAGAGACTCAGCACCCAAGGTTTTTTTGTTGGTGGCTGGCCACATGGGCCTCTTCTGCCTGGCAACTACCAAAATTCCAGACTCTCAGAGGAATTACCTTCCTCAGAAGGAAAGCTGGTGTACTGGATAAACCACATTGTCAATCAGCCCAATCAGCCTTATCAGTTAGGGAATGATTCAAATGCCAAGTTTTCAGACACCAGCCAAGGTCCAACCTTGCAAACAGAACATTCTAGAAATAGCAGGGTCTGGCTGGCTATGATAACTCTTTTCAGCACAATGACCAAGTGGAGTTCATTTCAGGAATGAAAGAATACACATAAGTGATCACTAGAATCTGGCTCCCTAAGCTGCTATGTGTAACAGCAAATCCCAGCTGGCTGTGCCTTCACTGGTCCAAGTTCTATACATGGTGATGTGAATGCCATCAGCTCTGCTAAGCAAACTGGTCACTACCAGATTCCCTGCTAAAAATTTACCATCAGCCAAGGTCTTCTTGGCTTCTCAAATCAGAACACTGGATTTTTCTCAGTTCACCTGGAGATGAACAACTAAAGATGACTAGATCCAGACCAATCTAAACAGAAACAACGCTTGCCTCATGCATAAAGAGGCCGACTTTTTATTTACAATGGAGGATATATCCTTCTAGTGAGCCAAAATGCTTGTGTTTCAAATGTGGGGTACCACCTTTCTCAAGAGTAAGATATCTGGAAAGCATAATCAGTCATCAGAAAATTGCTTTAAGCCAGGCATGGTGGTTCACACCTCTAATCCCAGAACTTTGGGAGGCCAAGGCAGGGGGATCACTTGAGGCCAGGAATTTGAGATCCTACCTCTACAAAAAACAAAAAAAAGTTAGCCAGGCATGGTGTTCATGCCTGTAGCCCCACCTACTCAGGAGGCTGAGGCAGGAGGATTGCTTGAGCTCAGGCAGCATGTCTTCTGATATAGCTTGGATATCTATATAGTATCCCTGCCCAAATCTCATACTGAAATGCAATCCCCAATGTTGGAGGTGGAACCTGGTGAGAGGTGATTAGAGTATGGGGGTGGTTTCTCACAATGCTATAAAGAAATACCTGAGACTGGCTAATTTGTAAAAAAAAAAAAAAAAAAACAAACAAACAAAAAAACAGTTTAATTCACTCACAGTTCCACGGCTGTACAGGAAGCATGGCCGGAGAGGCCTCAGGAAACTTAGAATCATGGCAGAAGGCAAAGGGGAAGCAGGTACTTCTTACATGGCCCGAGCAGAAGGAAGAGAGAGGCAGGGAGGTGCCATACACTTTTAAACAACCAGATCTCACAATAATTTACTACCACAAGAACACCAAAGGGGAAATCTGCCCCCAGGATCTAATCACCTCCCACCAGGCCCCACTTCCAACACTGGGGGTTACAATTTGACATGAGATTTGGGCAGGGACACAGACCCAAACCATATCACACAGTCTCAGGTATTTCTTTATAGCAGTGCGAGAACAGCCTAATACATCCTCTATAAAAAGAGGCACTGCTATGCAAAAAAGAACAGAATGAAGGGCTCTGTGGTTTCTCAGGGCCTTCCAGCTCTACAGCTGTGACTGTGCATCCCAGCAGGTGCTAGCACACACACGAAAAGGCGTACTTCCCCAGACACAGTGCAGACAACGCAAAACAAATAGTACCCTGGTTACAACTTCAAAGAAGAGAAAGGGGGACAAATTTAACACACCTGTTTGGGTGATGGGCCTAGAATAAAGTATATGCCCAGTGACCCTGGCCCCACATTGTGATTTCTGCTTTGGGCTCCTGCTTTAGGGAGTGGAGACTCCCAGTTGAGTGATCTCAAAATCTGCTATGTAGCAGCTGCAGATTCCTTCCAGGTGCCCCTGATGCATGTTAAAGTTTGGGAACCACTCATCTAAGCAGCAAGTTGCTCTATATTCTACAACCCAGACCAATTTAGATAGATCCCTAGAAGAATGAGCATGTTTTCTTACTGGCAACTGTATTATTGAGTAGAACAGGAAAGACAATAGAGCACGCAACTACGTGATTCATTATCTACGATGCGTGTGACCAGAGTCAATGGGAAGAAAAATGAGTATGCATGTTTGCAGGACTAATTTAATCTTTATATATGTAATTCAAATTCTTCCCCTCATGTCTTCATTTGCTTTCTGAGGCATAAACTTCTAGACCTTTCCTTAAAATGGAGCAATCCAGACTTTGTATGACTATACCTTTGATTCCAATTTGGTGCATTTGCATGTTTTATCTTATTTTAATGCCTTCAGCATGGGAAAGAGACCCAGTTGTCAGAGTGACCAGGAATAGCATTTCAACAGTTTAGCCCTTCTCAAACCTTAACCCTACTTGGTCAATTTCACTGTGTTCCAGGCTCACCTAACATTTGTGGTCACAAAAATGCAAAACACTGCAGTTCTGCTAGCTGCTTCTCCCTATTTTGTCTCTATAAAGTCTCATGAACTTGACTTTCTCCTAAAGTTGCTAACATAATTGATTTTATTTTTACTAGCTAGTCTTGCTGTCTTCACTCCTTCCCCTTTGATTAACAATGCCCACTATTCAAAGCCTACCACTTAGTTTACCTACTTCCAGAGCCTACCCTCTAGAGACGTCAACAGGCTTATGCACAGGCTCAAAATTGGGTTCATAGTGCAGTACTGGGAAGAAGCCCTGATCTGGAAACAGAAAAGACTGGTTCTGGCCTCTGTTCTGCTGCAAACCTGCTGCACAATCTCAGGCAAGTCCCTTCCCCTCTCTGGGCCTGTCTCCTCTGTCATACAATGGAGAAAACCCAGTGAACTCGCAGCCCTTCCAGCTAGGGCATCTCAGGATTCTCTGCTTTTCCTCTGTTGGACAAGCGATCACACAGTATGGATTTCCTGGGGACAGTGCCAGTTTTGCAATCCCTGGCACCACAGCCCATACACCATGAGCATACTAGTTCTTAAACTGTGGTCCTGACTATTTGATTTCACCAATGGCAAGGGGGTTTGAGAGGGCTTCCTACTGGTTTTTCCATAATCACATAGCCATTTCTAATTTGTAGCCCCAGATAGGAATAGGATCCTAGTATACAAATGCCCAGTCCATTTAAGCTAATGACCTTGCCAGGTCATTTCTAAAACCCCAATAAAAGGGCATGGCACACAGTGCCCAGTAAATGTCTGCTGATGCCTAAACACTATGCTTTCTCTATAACTGCAAGAGCTCCATAGAATGAACAAAGCTCAGAAGGACTGAAATACAAAAACCAATTCCTTCTGCAGAATCTAAAACCTCAAACTAAAGCTATTTAAGGCTTGAATTACATCAAACAATAGTGGGGCATATTCTTGGGACTGTTATTTTTAAAGGCACTACCTTTCAAGCTCTATTGTTGGGATATCCTTCCCTCACCCCAAATACTTAAGATTCCCATCTACGTAACTCTAGTAGGTCAGTCAAAGATCTGCAGTGAAATCCCAGCTCTTCCACTTATCAGCTGAGTGGCTTAAGCTTCAGTTTCCTCCTGTGTAAAATGGGGCAAAGAGCAAACTCCTCATTAGATTGCTTATTAAATAAAAAAACCGTATCTCTAAAATTGTTGCAAATGCGCACTTGTTAACTGTTAGTCAAGGAGTTAAGGATGATCTACCCCAAAATATGCCGATTTGATATATTGATTATTTAAGGAACTGTAAGCACTTAAATAACTGTAGTTGTGGAAAGGGTTATCTGACCTGTACTTTCCTACATGTAGCAAACCATAAAATATCCTTTGAGGAGGATGCCTTCCCCATACCAAGGTGAGAAAATATCAGGCCCTGAGCATTGCTGCTGCAATGAACCTGTACAAATAAACTTATTGAAGAAACCCTTATATTCCACTATCTCTACAACCCTCCACCCCATATATCTCCTGGTGACTTCCCTAGAATTTACTGCCCCCATCTCAGATCCCTTTGCCCTGTCATTTCTTCACAAATTTATTGTTCTTTGTCTAAAACCTGTAAGTTTTCTCCCTTGGCTATTTCCTAGGGTCTTTATTCTCTTGTGAGGGTCCCCATGTACAATGTAAAAATTAATACAATGTGCATGCTTTCCTCCTGTTAATTTGTCTTGTATCAATTTGATTCCAGACCCAGCTGAAGATCCCACTGAAGAACTAAGATGGTAGAGGTGATCTTTAGCTTCCCCTACATTAGCTAGTTAACGCAGCATTCTTACAGCTTTCTCGTCAAATCTCTTATCTGTTGGGAATTATCACACCTATACTCATTTATGCATAAGAAAAGTGAGATCCAGAGAAGTGAGTTGCCCAAGATCACACAATTGCTTATGTTTTAGGGCCAGCAGTTGAACCCACGTCAGGAACACTTCCGATCACAGAAGATGGAGTAAAGTAGATACGCTAAGTTTAGAAGGTGCACCCAAAGAATCAAACAAACTTGGTCCTGGCCCTCCTCCGGCATTTGAAGAGAGGGACAATGGCTCTGGAGCTACCAAGGGGCAGCTTTATGGGAATCAAGAGCATGGCTCCCTGCACATAGGAGCTCCACATGCTTGACAGTATTTTCTGTTGAATGAATCCAGCTTTGTAGGCATTTTCATCTATTTTAACTTGATGCCAACATTTGCATGATTTCAAAACATCCTTTTCAATTCTTTCTGTGGGGACACTGGCACCTGGAAAAAAAGACTGATAAGGACAGGTGTGAAAACAGAAGCTACAACATATTTAGCTTCTCCCAGGCACAGATGCTATCCTCATCCACTGTCTCACTGGAACATGTCTAGGGTAATATTAGGGCCCACAGACCCTACTCTTTCTAATCCCTACTAGTTTCATGGACTCACTGGGCCTTTTCTCTTAACATATTTTTTCCCCAATGGCTTAACAGGCTTGACCCAAACTGCAGTTATAATGTAACTCATTTTTCCAGTTTTAATTACTTAGAGCTTCTACTCAGCATGTGCTAGCTTATGCATCCATCAGAAATGGTTAGAATTATAGTCCATGCTCAAGGGAGACTGAGGATTTGTTGGGCCAAGGTAAAGATTTAATTAGGCTTTCAGACTTACTATAGATCCCTATTCCCTAGGGCTCAGGAAACAACAATCTAGGAATACCTATTAAAGAGAATACCTTAAAGAGAAAGGAACACAAAATGTAGTATAGACACGTAATATTATTGTTCAGTCTTTAGAAAGGAAATTCTAACATATACTGCAGCTTGGATCAATCTTGAGGACATTATGCTAAGTGAAACAAGCCAGTCACAAAAAGACAAATACTACGTGATCCCACTTATATGAGGTCCATATGGACTGGGGCAGGGAGAAGGAGTTATTGTTTAATTCATGGAGTTTTAGTTTGGTGATGGTTGCACACTATGAATGTACTTAATATCACTGAATTATATACTTAAAACTGGTTCAGATGGTAAATTCTGTGATGTGTATTTTACAATTAAACAAACAAACAAAAAAGGAACAGATTGGACACGATTCTCAGCTATGTATGAGCATTGTACCATCAGAGCCCAAAGCAGCTACATAATAATGTTGTATATCTTTATGCCCAACCCCCAATTTTCCTTCTCTTCCTTCTGCTGAATGAAGCATCTCCCTGTTCTGCCACCGAAACTAGCATCTTATAAATCACTAGCTCAGAAAATTCAGTGACTTTCAGCTAGTAGTCCACTAGAGACCATGGCTAGGCAGATGGGTGCAGCAAAGAGAATGCACCCCTCACAACCAAACAGCTCCCCCATGTGGCTGCAGCATCTCCCCCAGAGGAAAAGGCCCCTCTGGACAGAGGGACAGATTTCTTTTCCAAATTAAAGGCATAATTTTTAGCTATAATTGGTACCATCAAACTCGGTATCAGGGAAAAAATCCATTATGGGTACTATCATCTTTAATTTCTTCCAAATGAAATTGAGACATTTTTCCCTGCATTTCAAAAATGAAGACACCTGTTTCATGTAATAAGCAACTCACAGGATCCAAGAAAACCAGTTTCCCATCAATTTTTTCCCAATAAAATACCATTTGTTAGAATTTACAAGAGCTCACTTACCAATATATTTCCCTAGGAAATCTTTTTTAAAGATACATATTCTCATCATTTAAATTTGACACTTTGAATCTAAAAGTACTTTACAGCTAGCATTTTAAAGAACACTTAAGAAACTGCTTAACTGTTCAGACTTTTTCTCAAAAATAGGCTTAGTGTATGAAAAAGATGTTTTTAAAATTATCTGTTTTTTCTTAACCGTTAATAATATACCTCTTTATCATTTTGTGACTCTGTTGGACAACTAGGACACTTCCCAGGGAATGCCCTCTCTTGTCAGAAATTCTGGCTTGGAGTTGTGGCTGGAGTAAGCTACCTTTGAGCAATTCTCAGTATTTCCTAGGGCGTACCAGAAACTGACTATTTATACCCAGTATGGCAACATAAGCTAAGTGAAACTTAAGTTTTATTTCTGGTTAGAATTATATCGACTCAGTGTAGAAATGCTAGTATCTCACTCTGATTAGATAAGTCTTACCAAATTTTGAGATAATCCAATTTATCAAATGGATTATCTCAAAATGGGTTTAACAGTAAGAGGTAGATGAATGGAAATCCCTGGTCTACACTCATAAAATTAAGAACTGAGAAAGAAGAGGCAAAATATAATCTATGGCCCTATTAAAGACAAAGAACAGACTGCGCCAACATTTCATCCGAGATTTCTGGTTTCTTGTTTGATTGTTCTCCTAAGTACTAGCTTCCTTTGGACACAGATCTGTCTGACGGAGTCAGAGACACACTCCTTGATAACCACAGAATACCCAAAAGGACAATCGCCAGGACAGAAATACCTAGAAGAAAACAAGCCAAGGGCAATTACAGAATCTTGGACTTGAATAACCACATGGTCATGTGAGGAACTGTCAATCCAACAAAAAACTCAATATTCACCAGACATATTTGCTACATATTTACTTACAAATCTAAAGGCAGAAAGACTAAGGGCCCTAGCAGTGAGGCATCAACGATCAGACTCAGTATAAGTGAATTAAAAAGTTTATTAGCCATAGAAAAAAACTGATTCCTCAAAATCAATTATTGATAAATCCCCTGTAAAACAGCAAGCTTACAGAAAATTTCTCTCATGAACAGATAGTCACTATACTTTTGGTCCAAGAAATGTTGGGTTTTTTCCTCCTTCTTCAGATGACAGATGGATGTAACTGAATCTACGAACGAGTGTACTTGCCCCAAATGTGCAACATAAATACAGAAGCGATGAACAGAAGACTCATAACCAATACTGGAACAGGGCCACTAGAAATAAGAAGAGAAAGCATGCTTACTTTTAGTAATAATATACTATTAGATCTGCAATACTAAAGATTGCCTAGGGGAAAAGTAGAGGTAAGGTGGGCAGCACTCAAGGTTCATCCAGAAACATTATTTGTATCATTTTAAAATATTTCTAAAATTATTATTGTGGATACTTTTGAAGGTGTGATGATGGCACTGCAATTGTGTTTAAAAAGGATGAGTCCTTATCTTTTAGTAAAACATACCAAAACATATACAAATGAAATGATCTGATGTCTTGGAGACATTAATCTAATTTCATGTATTTGTTGTCTTCTCAAATAAAAAGAAGAAAACTCTTTCAGTGCAAATGAACCCATTACCAAACTTTTTTTTTCAAATTAAGATTTATTTAAAGACAACCTTCTGAATAAGACCTAGTATTTGCTAGCACACCAACGTGACTATAGCAAAAAATAATTTAATTGTATATTGTAAAACAACTAACAGTATAATTGGACTGTTTATAACACAAAGGATAAATGCTTAAGGTAATGGATACCCCACACACCCTGATATGATTATTACACATTGTATGCCTGTATCAAAACATCTCATATAACCCATAAATATATACACCTGTATACCCATAAAAATTAAAAATTAAAAGACAACCTTCTTGAGAAGGGTTTAAAATGAGTCCCCTGAAGAGCAATGGGCTACAGATGTTCTCTCTGAGGTTCCCTCTCATGCCTATAATCCCAGCACTTTGAGAGGCTGAGGCCAGGAGTTAGAAACCAGCCTGGGCAACACAGTGAGATTCTGCTTGTACAAAAAACTAGCCAGGCATGGTAGTGCGCACTTGTAGTCCCAACTACTCAGGACTAATTAATCCAAATTTATCCAATTTTGTCTCCTGGAGTAAAGATCACTTGAGCCCAGGAATTCAAGACTACAATGAGCTATGATCATGCCATTGCACTCCAGCCTGGGCGACAGAGCAAAACCCTGTCGCTAAAGGAGAAAAAAAAATTCTCTCTGAAATACTCAAACTACCTCCACCAAAGACCAAAAGGTTGGCAGTCAGGATACCCCCACCTCACATATCCCCAACCCCAAGAATTACTTCCTAGATATATTCTCACATTATCATATAAGTCTCCAATATAAGAGAAAACAAGAATTCCAGGGAAGGCTTTATAAACTAAATTTGTGATCCTTTTGTGACTTTGTAAACTAAAGTCAAGGTGCTGGTCAAATTAATTAAAACTAATTAAAATTATAAAAACTAATTAAAATTAATAAAAACTTTACAAATTTGTAAAGTTACAAATTTGTGACTTTGTAAACTAAAGTCAAGGTGCTGGTCAAATTAATTAAAACTAATCCAAATTAATTCAATTTTGTCTTTTTTATTTTAACTAGATGGACAATATGCAAAGAGCATAGGACTTAATCAGAATATCCAGTTCCACCTCTTGTTGTGTGTCTTTGAGCATGTCACTTTGCCTCTTTGAACCTGAGGTCCTCATCTACAAAATGGTAACATCTCTCACCTCACTGGATTGCTGGGCAGATCAAACTAGACAACAGACATTGAAAGTTCTTTGCAAAGTACAAAGTGCTATGTAAATCAGAGTTGCTGTTATTATTTCGAATCCTCATCCACCGAGTTTAGTCAGGAAACAGTTGTAGGCAGTGGTGTTCTGGAACCTAACAGAAATCTGTGGGATAAGATCTGCCACACAGCACCAGAAACCCTGAGCAAGGCATGGGGACAGGGGTCCCTGGACACCCATTTCCCATCACCTAATGAGCACTCCAATGCCTAAGAACTTGGAAAGTGGTATTACATGTTCACCCTCCTGAGTCTACTCACCACCCACCAAAGGCAAAGAGGCCAAGGAACTCCTGGTAACACAGCCTAATGGGAAAACCTCCATCAGGTTGTAGTAATATCAGCTTATGCCTTCAGGAGAACTTTGAAAAATCACCCAATTCCTATTCAAATGATTACTCCTATTTCTTGGTACGGGGCAAGATCACCAAATGAAGAGCAATTTCATCTAATTAAGCAGTTTTCCCTCCAGTTCTCTCTGTTCTCATTTATTTTGACATAGCTCCATGAAGAACTTCCTTTCCTTTCCCTCACTCCATGAAAAGATGTCATTCCCGGCCCTACAATGCCTAATCGGTTGATAAACAGGCAAACCAAACCCAGTCCGCCTGGCACAAATGAGGCTGTTGTGTACAGTAAATCGCATCAAGGCAAACGCTACTGGTGACAGAGACAGAGTGCTGCCACTGCTGCTCTGCTGCCACTGGACAGAAACACAAGGACTGTTCCTAAGACTTACACTTTGAGCCCAGGTGAATCTTCTGTGTAGAATCGCCACATCCCCCCGGTGCCTGCCGAGGTTGTGCGGCCTGCACTCCTTGTCCCACAGCTGGCATTTTTCCTGAAAGAGAGGAAAATGTTACAAATGGCCTTTTCTGGAAATTATTAGAATAGCATTATAACATATGCTACCATTATTACACAGTTAAGGAATCAAAAAAAAAAAACTTTCTTTGCTAGAATCCACCTAAATTCCTGCTTTTACTCCTTTGATCATGATAACCACAATGAACTAAGTGCCTACCTGATGCCAATGCATACAATAACCCTGAAAAGCAGTCACGATTTTTCCATTTTATAAATGAGGCAAATTGGCCTCAGAAAAGGTTAAGCAAAATATCTAAGACCCTGCAGCCAACAGGTGGCTGAACCTAGCTCTGACCCTGGAGCCCATCTGCATGCCCAAAACATCCAGCTGTGTCATGTGGACAAAGCATTTCACTTTCTCCTCACATGCATCTTTCATGAAGCCAAATAATAAATTCCTGTTTTAAAATGCCCTGAATCCATACAAGCTGATCTTAAAATGGCTACTTTAAAAGATGTATTTTAAAATTAGTATATTTACTGCAAACAGACAAAAACTTTAAGCTTTAATTATATCCAGGGCCCAAGATAGAGTATACACTTTATAAAAAATTACTTTGTTATGTGTTGTCACTAGTTTGTTTTTTTTTTTTTTTTTTTTTTTTTTGAGATGGAGTTTCGCTCTGTTGCCCAGGCTGGAGTACAGTAGTACAATTTCTGCTCACTGCAACCTCCGCCTCCTGGGTTCAAGCGATTCTTCTGCCTCAGCCTCCTGCTTAGCTGGGATTACAGGCGTGCGCCACCATGCCCAGCTAATTTTTGTATTTTTAGTAGAGACAGGGTTTCACCATACTGGCCAGGCTGGTCTTGAACTCCTGACCTCATGATCTGCCTGCTTTGGCCTCCCAAAGTGCTGGGATTACAGGTGCAAGCCACCGCACCTGGCCGTGTTTTCACTATTTTAATATAGTGATCACAGATCTTGCACAGAGAGGTAGAATGTAAAAAAAACGCAGGGAACACCCAACCAAAACACCCCTTGTGTCTCTCACAAGGGGATCAAGGCTTGTAAGATACACTATGTAATACACGCAGCCCTGGCAGACAGAAGCAGCCTAGCAGCACTTAGGACTCTGCTGCCAAGGAATAGGCCCAAGGAATCCTTTCTCTCCTCTTTGGGAGAAGCCCTCAGTCACCGGGGAACCCCACCCAGCAACTACCCTTCCCTGCAGTACTTCCCCAACCCCAGCTGCTCATCGTGCCCCATGTTGGAGTGGTACAATATGGGGGTAAGGGGCAAGTGGTGAGAAGTCACAAGCAATTTTCTTCAGACCATGTATCACCAACTCAGAAGTCCTAGTGGGGAGGAGAGGGGAAGCCTATCTCATTGCTGCCTGCACCATTCAGCATCAAATCCCAGTATACCCTCCCTCAAAATCTCATTCCAGTATCTGTGGGCTGATGATTCTGGATTTTTGAAAAAGGGAAGGGCATATACGGAAAAGAAGAGAAGTGAAAACCCTATCCCTACCATCTCTTCTTGCTTTCCTCCCCATTCTGGTCCTCATGCCTCCTTTACCCAACCACGGTCTTTACTCCACATTCTGAATGCAGGAAGCACTGTCTACAGCACGGGGAGCCTGCCCTGCTACATGACGGAGTGGGAGAGTGCAGTCCTGGTTCTAACAGGAAGAGCTGTGTTCATGCCAGAACTTTGAAAGCAATCAGTGCCAAACCATGATTTGGGTCTATTGTACTACAAGGATTATATTTCAGACACATTAATTATGGACTACGTGGTAGCCTGGGAACTTAAAACTTCATTGTGTGACCATTCCTATGGGAAAACTGATTGTAAATGGCAAAACATAACTGTACAGGGATTTACAGAAAGATTCATGCCCTTAGAAAAGGTTTCACACACACAGATATATGTCATTCCATCTGTGGGGTATGCAGCTGAAATCTTCCTCCTTGTTCATTGAAAAGGATTTTAAGCTAGAAGATAAACCCAGTGTGAACATATTATAGTCATGGACTGAGCCAGGACTTGGACGCATGCACTTCCTACTATTTCCACAATATCACACCTCCAGTTCCTGACTTCAAAGTTTCCTGGAATTACAGGAGCCCCAGAGGAGTCAGGCTGGCTTCTCTTAAGATTTCTTATTTCTGCTGGCGCATGGAACATAGAAGAGTATTTGAAAACCAGAGCCCCTAGAAATACTAAAGTGTACTCAAAATACTTCCCATTCCCTAGGGGTAGCTAGGTAAAGGTTAATAAAACACATTGAATCTCTCAAATTTGTATTTGGGGGCTATTTTACCCTTTCTTTCTGGCCACTGTGTAACTGTCTCTCCCTTCTATACCTCAACACAATGGTTTTCAAAACTAACCAGTTACACACTTGGTTCTAACATGGTGCTTCTGTTGCTCCTCAAAGCCAACCTCATCGACCTCAGAATCTTCATACTTACCCACTCCTTTTGCCTAGGAGGCCTATTCGTCCCCAAACCATTGTGTGATTTGCTCTCTTGCTTCTTTCAGGTATCTACTCAGGTATTACCTACTGTGAACACCCTATCTAAAACAACTACCTACCTTTGCCCTATCCCCACCACTCTCTATCCCCCACCCAGCTTTATTTATCTTCATAGCCCTTATTGCCTGAAATTACATTGTCTTATTTTCCTTGCGTTTGATCTCCCACACTGGAATATAAGGTTCATGAGTACAAACCTTGCCTACCTTGTTCACAGACCCATCTTCGGAGATGAAACAGCATTTGGCATGTAGTAGACCTCAATACCTTGATGTCTATACATTGGTGGCTATTCCGCCATCTTAATATCCCTGATTCCCATTAATCCTGCTAGAACACTATGTGGCACTTCACACCTTTACAGTTTATAAAGCATTATTGCTCCTCACAGCAAGTTCCTTTTATATTGTATTTAGGAGAGCAAGAACACCAACTCTGGCCTGAGCTTAAATTTAATAACATTTCTCCTCCAAGGTAGTATCTATCACCTCATCAAGCATGGAGAAGGCAGCTCTACAGACAACATAATCCAAAGCACTATTATGAATCATTAACTTCCAATGTTTTCTCAGACTTATAAAGCAAAGATATTCTTAAACAACCAATACTTATTACATTATACTCATGAAATGATACTTAATCACTACCATTCTAGAAGGAAACACTGTCAGGTCTCTCAATACATACAACCATGGTCTTTCTTGTTACACTAGCTCTATCACACTGAATCCTAAAAGATGACACCAACACCCACGACTTTAAAAACTGCATCTGTCTGTCTTCAAATGTTTCAGTTCTCCATTTCACTTGTGCATCAGTTATTTCATTTTTACTATTAAATAAATAATTTCATTATCATATGTACATTTGATAAATATGTGCTTTTTCTTTTATTTCTTTACAAATTCTCGGATGGCCAAACTTCCCTGCCACAGTATTACCAATTCTCATTAAGCAGAACCATTCCCAAGGAACCGCACCCACAGGACATGTTTTCCATTCCTGCACGAAAAATCTCTAAAACCCAGGGTGGGAAGGGGACAGCACTCAAAGCCCATATAAGTTAAACCACAGCCTGATACACTCCTCATGAACATCCCAATGACAGGGAACTCAAAATCATTCAGGATAATTTTACATTTCTGCCAGTTCTATTAGAATGTCTTTGTTCTGATGTGAAATATTTCATGTAAGTTCAAATCATCAGTTTTAGATTTACCTGTTGCAGCCAGAAAATGTCACATCCCTCTTCACATCCTTCAGAAGTTTCCATGCATGTGTTCAAGATTTTTTCCTCCCTAGATAAAACCCCACTAGTTCCTTCAAAAATCCCAAAACAACTTGGTTGCTTGATTCCTTCCTTCAGTCATTATTTATTGTGTCATGCCTTATGGTGGGTACCTGGGATAGAAATGACTTGAGCAGGTTCTCTGTTAAAGTCTAATGAAGGAGATAAATATGGAAACATCACTGGTCTTATAATGATATGAACAAAATGCTATGGGGGCAAAAGGGAAAACTAGTAGCTACTGCTGCTTACAGACAGAGAAGGCCTCAAGAGGAAATAACCCCTGAGCTTAGTCTTGGAAAATAAGTAGAAATTTGCCTTGAGATGAGGGAGAAAGTTTGTGAATTCAGAAAACAGTAATGGGTTCACGAGTGCTGGATCATAGGACAGCAAAGAAAGATTAGGCTGAAGGCCGGGCGCAGTGGCTCACGCCTGTAATTCCAGCACTTTTGGAGGCAGAGACGGAGGATCACAAGGTCAGGAGATCGAGACCATCCTGGCTAACATGGTGAAACCCCGTCTCTACTAAAAATACAAAAAATTAGCTGGGTGTGGTGGCACGTGCCTGCAGTCTCAGCTACTCAGGAGGCTGAGGCAGGAGAATTGCTTGAACTCTGGAGGCAAAGGCTGTAGTGAGCCGAGATCGTGCCACTGCACTCCAGCCTGGGCGACAGAGTGAGATTCCATCCCAAAAAAAAAAAAAGGAAAAAGAAAGGTTAGGCTGAAATGACCACTAAGAGCTTTGGTATCCCCCCGGTTTTTTTTTTTTGTTTGTTTGTTTTTTTTAGTTCAGCAACAAGTAACAGAAACTACGCAGAAGAGTAACAGCAGAGCGAACGATGGACTGGAAAGCAAACAGCCTGAAGAAAAGGGTTAAGTAGCAAATGCAAAGCAGTAGAAAGGGAAAAGGAAAGAGCTTATGAGAAAGCTTTCAAGCAGAGTTTAAAGTCTGGCATATGACTAGAGAGAGAAAGAGCATAAGAAAAATCCAAGATGACGCTGACGTTTCTGGCTCTGAGTAAATGAGTGTACAACAGTGCCATATGGAAGTAAGGAGATATAATTGAGAGTGAGAGAGCTGAGCTGAAAAGAGACTAAGTTTTGTGTAGGACGAGTTATCTGTAGGACAGATTGCTTATGGGGCCGCCAGATGGAAATGTGAGTGCAAACCTCAGGTCCAGAGACACCAGTTTAATGACATCGGTTTTCTCAAAGTTATCTCTGACTCTATTCCAGTTTGTTAACTTTCCTTTTTTAAGAGTAGTGCCCTAAACTGAGCAACGAGAAAAAAAATGTCGCCTTCCTCCCAAAAGGCCTTTAACTACTCCCACGGCCACGTCACTAGAAGCTCATTTTGCCTTTGTCAATCTTCACATGCTAGGGTCTCCACCCCAGAATCAGCGAGGTTCTGGGTCCTATCTCCGAGTCTGGAAGCGAACGAACTGCAGGGTTCCTTACCTCTGCCGGACAGTGGATCCCGCCGCCCGGGCGGCCACTGCTTTGCTGGGAGAGCGCCCTGAGGATCCCACGTTAGTGCCACTGGGGGTCGGACCAGGCTGTAGAGGGAGACAAGCAGACAGACGGGTGAGCGCGGCAGGCCTGCCCCAGAACCCCGGCCTAGACACCCACACCCGAGGCTGGGGGAAGCAAGGGAGCTACAGAGGAAAAGCACGGCGCAAAGCAGGAGGAGTCAGGGCTTCTGGGAGAGGCGGGGATCATGGAAGGGCCGCCATACCATATTGGAGATGAGGGTGGCAAGGCGCTGACGCGGACGGATAGAAAGTTACGGAGCCCCCGAAAGACCGGCAGCTGGCGAGACTGACTCAGGCCCCGCCCCCGGACTTGCAGGCAAGGTCCTCTCTGACCCCAGGGACGCCTGGGTCGTCTCACGATATGCCTGTAGACAGTCTGCTACAGACAACTTAGTTACCTGCTGTATGGGAAGTAGAGACCTCCGGCCTCCTTCCTTTGGATCACAACGTCCTTCAGAAAGTCCAATCCCTACCGAAGGAAAAATATAACCGGGGTCAGACAAGATATTTTCTCAGGCAGTTACTAGACCCTCACAGATTTGCGCTGATGTGGCCTAACTGACGCACGTACGGCAGGGCGGGGTCGGCCCGCAGTGGCCAGCTGGGAGCTACGAGCGCGGAGCTTGCGCAGAAGACCCCCATCAGGGTGCGGGGTGCAGTTGCGGCTCCAGGGCCATGGCGGAGGAGCAGGGCCGGGAACGGGACTCGGTTCCCAAGCCGTCGGTGCTGTTCCTCCACCCAGACCTGGGCGTGGGCGGCGCTGAGCGGCTGGTGTTGGACGCGGCGCTGGCGCTGCAGGCGCGCGGGTGTAGCGTGAAGATCTGGACAGCGCACTACGACCCGGGCCACTGTTTCGCCGAGAGCCGCGAGCTACCGGTGCGCTGTGCCGGGGACTGGCTGCCGCGAGGCCTGGGCTGGGGCGGCCGCGGCGCCGCCGTCTGCGCCTACGTGCGCATGGTTTTCCTGGCGCTCTACGTGCTGTTCCTCGCCGACGAGGAGTTCGACGTGGTAGTGTGCGACCAGGTGAGGCGGCCGCGGGGCCGGCTGCGCGAGTGCGGACCTCGCCGTGGAGGGCGGCCGCGGGCATGACCCCTGAGAGAAGACCTTCCCTGTCTGCGGTTCGCAAAGATCGGAACTGACATGGAGAAGTCAGGGTTGTGAGCGAGCCTGTGGTTCTCTAACTTTAGTGTGGGCCCATTTAAAGTTGCAGATTGCTGGGGTTCCATCCTCCAGGAAGTTTTCATCCAGGTGCCCTGAGGTGGGGCCCAGACATCTGCATTTTAACTGGGTCATAGGGTGATTCCGAGGTAGATAGTCTTTGGGGCTCTGAGAAACGCTGGTATTAGAAGTCAGCTTCAGTCACCTTTTACTAATGAGTAACTCGCGTGTTGTCTTCCCGCTTACCTGTTATTTTTGTTGACTCTCCTTTCAGGCCATTTGCATCCCACTGTCCTTGTGTTCGGAGCCAGGCCACACCGTCCTCAGCAGTGTCATGTGTTAAAAACGCCAAGCTGAATATATCATGCCCCTATTAAAACTTGTACATGGCTCCCCATTGGTTTTTGGAGAAAAGTTCAAGCTTTTTACCTTGGTAAATAATGTCCACCTGGATCTGCCCTGTAGCTATTCTTGACTCTTTCCTTCGTGCATTTTTCCCCATCCTAAAAAAGATGACTTTAAAAAGTAACATTTACTCGATTAAAAATTTAGTAGTATAGAAGGATGTAACCTAAAAGCCCCGTCCTATTCTACTCCCTGAAGATAGCCACCGTTAAGTTTCTCTTGTATTTTTTCAGAAGTTGTGGTGACACCAGCCTGTGTCTTTTCATAGGTATATCTATATCTTCTTATTGGTACATAATTGGTATTATGACATACCTACTATTAGGCATCTTTTTCAGCAAAAATTTATTTATTTATTTATTTATTTTGAAACGGAGTCTTGCTCTGTCTCCCAGGCTGGAGTGCAGTGGCGCGATCTCGGCTCACTGCAACCTCCGCCTCCAGAGTAGCTGGGAGTACAGGTGCGCGCCCCACGCCCGGCTAATTTTTTCTATTTTTAGTAGAGATGGGGTTTCACCATGTTGGCCAGGCTGGTCTCGAACTCCTGACCTCGCGATCCGCCCACCTCGGCCTCCCAAAGTGCTGGGATTACAGGCATGAGCCACTGCGCCCAGCCGGGACATTCTTATGTATCAATATTAGAGATTCACTTCATTCTTCATAGTGGCCAGAAAATCCACTTTTGTTTAAGTGTGTCATAATTAAACATTCTCCTTAAAGGACACTAATGTTGTGACTAGTTTTTTGTGAATAGATCAGTGTTGTAATGAACATCCTTTTACTTCTTTTTTTTAAAATATTTTTGTACTTCTGCAAATATGTCGTTTGAGGAAATTCCTAAAGTTGGTGGGTCTAAGAGTTGTTCATTTTAAATATCAATAGCTACTGCCAAGTTTGCCTACCAAGGAGGCTGTGTCACTTTACTCCCCCACAATGTATGATAGAGCCTCTTACTCCATGCTTTTGTCCGCCTTGGATATTAACCATTTTAAACTTTGCCAAACTGATAGGTGCAGATGGCATCACATTTGTATTTGTGTTTCTTTAATTATGACTCCTGAGTTACTTTTGATCATCCTTGCTTGCATGGAAGCTTTCTTTTTAAGTAACGTGGACATTTACCAAACATCCTGCATGTGTCAGTAGACATGAGGCAGCTGAGACTATAGTGGGTAGAGGAAAAATTATTGGCTTGGAAATAGGCATCTTGGATTCAAGTTCCGTATCTACTGCTTTAATTAAGTGGCTTTGAATAAATTGCACATTATCCCTAAAGTTACCTTCTTCAGGTTTTAAGTTAGCTGAGACTAAAATGACTTGTAAAGATTACCCAACAAGAAAGTCTGTAGTAATGCCAGCATGTAGTTCATGCTCAATGATGACTAGCTTTAATATTTATTGAGCACATACTGTGTGCTAAACTCCATGTGTTTTGCATATATCAGTGCATTTAATAATCACAAAAAGTATATGGGTTTTTTGAACTATAATTTGTCACCATGTTACAGAAGAGGAAACTAAGGCCCAGAGTGGGATAAATTACTTGATCGTGGCCAGTTAGTAGAGCTGAGATTCAAACCCTGGCAGTCTTGAATCTAGAGCTTGTGCTCTAAACTACTATAGTTCATTCATTCAGTTCCTTAGAAGGAGAAAGATCCTAGAGCGGCACTGTTCAGTATGGTAGCCACTAGCCACATGTGGCTGTTGAGCACTTGAAATGTGGCTAGTCTAAACTGAGATGTGCTAAAGTTAAAATACAAACCGATTTTGAAGATGTAATGTGAAATATATGTATATATAAAGTATCTCATTAATACTGTTTAGTATTGGTTACATTTTGAAATGATAATGTTTTCGGTAAATAATATGTTAAAATTAATTTCACCCTTAAAAACATTTTTAATATTACTAGATTTCTATTAGACAGCACTATACAAGAGGAAATCACTGGACTTGAAGCTTTAAATGTTTAGCACACATCTAGCAAACGTCTGTAGCCTTCTGTACACCAGGCATATGGTACTGGGTGAGAGTCTTGGGGAATAAAACAGAATCAGACATTGCCCATGAGGAGCCCACAGACTAGCCAGACGGGGTGGGTGTCTGTGTTTTTGGTTTGGTTGAAGTTGAGTTGACCACTTTATCCGCTGTTGATTTTTGCTTTGGCTAGGTGTCTGCCTGTATCCCAGTGTTCAGGCTGGCTAGACGGCGGAAGAAGATCCTATTTTACTGTCACTTCCCAGATCTGCTTCTCACCAAGAGAGATTCTTTTCTTAAACGACTATACAGGGCCCCAATTGACTGGATAGAGGAATACACCACAGGCATGGCAGACTGCATCTTAGTCAACAGCCAGTTCACAGCTGCTGTTTTTAAGGAAACATTCAAGTCCCTGTCTCACATAGACCCTGATGTCCTCTATCCATCTCTAAATGTCACCAGCTTTGACTCAGTTGTTCCTGAAAAGCTGGATGACCTAGTCCCCAAGGGGAAAAAATTCCTGCTGCTCTCCATCAACAGATACGAAAGGAAGAAAAATCTGACTTTGGCACTGGAAGCCCTAGTACAGCTGCGTGGAAGATTGACATCCCAAGATTGGGAGAGGGTTCATCTGATCGTGGCAGGTGGTTATGACGAGAGAGTCCTGGAGAATGTGGAACATTATCAGGAATTGAAGAAAATGGTCCAACAGTCCGACCTTGGCCAGTATGTGACCTTCTTGAGGTCTTTCTCAGACAAACAGAAAATCTCCCTCCTCCACAGCTGCACGTGTGTGCTTTACACACCAAGCAATGAGCACTTTGGCATTGTCCCTCTGGAAGCCATGTACATGCAGTGCCCAGTCATTGCTGTTAATTCGGGTGGACCCTTGGAGTCCATTGACCACAGTGTCACAGGGTTTCTGTGTGAGCCTGACCCGGTGCACTTCTCAGAAGCAATAGAAAAGTTCATCCGTGAACCTTCCTTAAAAGCCACCATGGGCCTGGCTGGAAGAGCCAGAGTGAAGGAAAAATTTTCCCCTGAAGCATTTACAGAACAGCTCTACCGATATGTTACCAAACTGCTGGTATAATCAGATTGTTTTTAAGATCTCCATTAATGTCATTTTTATGGATTGTAGACCCAGTTTTGAAACCAAAAAAGAAACCTAGAATCTAATGCAGAAGAGATCTTTTAAAAAATAAACTTGAGTCTTGAATGTGAGCCACTTTCCTATATACCACACCTCCCTGTCCACTTTTCAGAAAAACCATGTCTTTTATGCTATAATCATTCCAAATTTTGCCAGTGTTAAGTTACAAATGTGGTGTCATTCCATGTTCAGCAGAGTATTTTAATTATATTTTCTCGGGATTATTGCTCTTCTGTCTATAAATTTTGAATGATACTGTGCCTTAATTGGTTTTCATAGTTTAAGTGTGTATCATTATCAAAGTTGATTAATTTGGCTTCATAGTATAATGAGAGCAGGGCTATTGTAGTTCCCAGATTCAATCCACCGAAGTGTTCACTGTCATCTGTTAGGGAATTTTTGTTTGTCCTGTCTTTGCCTGGATCCATAGCGAGAGTGCTCTGTATTTTTTTTAAGATAATTTGTATTTTTGCACACTGAGATATAATAAAAGGTGTTTATCATAAAAAAGAAACAGTATTAGATTTTGGTCTCCATAATCTATTTTGGTATTGTTACGAACATGGATATGACAACCAAACTGGAAATCAGAACACTAGGGTAAAGTGGATATTGAAATGAAGCAAGAATATTGTCACACATGTGTTGTGCATCTTGTTTAGGGTATATTTCTTAATGTCATCTAGGTCATTAGTTTTGTTAATATTTGTGTTGTCTTGACCAAGCTCCTACTAAGTATAGGACACAAATGTTTTTTATCTTCCAAGGCCTGGCTCAAATGCCACTGCTGCAAAGCTTTCTTTGACCCTCTGGCCACCTCCCAAGCCAGAAGTTATCTTCCCCCTCCATGTACTCTAGCCTTTTCATGACACTGATATTTTCGTGACACTGACTTATAGTTCACTGTTTACCTGTTGGTCTAACAGCAAATCATAAACAGTAGTTTTCAACATACTTCTAAGGCTAAATTCATTTCCAGAAGTAGCAAAGCTTACTAGCCAAAGGCTCCACATTTATCAACTCTTAAGAGCTAGACTTGAGAGCCTAACAGCCTATATGATTTTGTGTAAATTGATCTCTATACCTCAGCTTCTTCATCTGCAAAGTGAGATAATTGTACTATTCTACTTTCCTCATAGTGCGGTTATAACAGATTATGATAATATTACAAAGTACTTAATACTTGGCATATAGTATATATATTAGCTATTAGTATTTTGCAATTTGGGGATATTGAAAATTAGAAATTGCATGTTAGTTCATGCTGCACTACCATATTGTTCTTTTGGGGCTCTTCAATGGGTGAAATTCCATTTTACAGTTTATCATGTGCATCTGTATCACAGGAGTATTTTGGCAAAATGATTCTGTACCAAAAAGGAGTACTATAAAATGAGGGTGCCAAATATATTGAGTCTTTTATGGGATTAAAAGTTCTGTTGCATTCCATTTTCTTTGGCATTGTGAAAGCTTACCATGTAGTACAGAAGGTATGATTTGGTTCATGTGTTTCTGAGAAATGCAGCCTTTCCAGGAAGCCTGGTGGCTCTTACCATGGAGTTTAGCACAGATAGACTTGGCCACACTGTGACCTACAACATGGTGCTTACCTTACTAAGCAGCACTAAACATTTGCATATTTGACCATTTTTATGCAAATCCTTTCAAATGGACTACATGGGTTCATGGACCCTGATTTTAGCTTCACTTCATTGTCCTAAGCCGGAGTGAGTGACAATAAGATTTCACAGGTCTGGGAGGGATGGAGTCCTGCCTGCCATGAGCTTCCAGCTTCTGACCATTAGTTCCTGGTTCCTGGACCCTAGAATGGAACTTTGCCCTTAAGAAGTGTTCACACCTTCCAAAACTAAGCTGAAGTTAGGGAAAGTAGAAGCATGAAACATTGAAGGTGAATTGTTGGGGCCTTATCCATAGTAATTCTGGTAATTACTTTGTGCAGGGCAGGAAAGGAGATACATACATAGCAGATGCTTAATCCTCAACAATTCACTGAGATGTAGGTATTCTTCCCTTTTAGATGAATGTAGTTAAGCAAGTTGCCTGCGTCCCATGGCCTTGAAGAATGGACAGAATCTCAAGGCCCTCTGATTCCAAAGTCCAACCACTTTACTATTCTTCAGTCTGCCCTCACCCTAACCAAATTCTTTGTGTAATGTTTTTTCAGTACAACTCCCTCTGCAGCACTGCAGTTGTAGTTGTACAGGTCTTTGGGTTTAGAAAGACTTTGCTGTTTACTGTCCATTTGCCTCTTCCCATCAGTCTTCCGAGGTGAGTATGATTATCCCCCATCTTACACACAAGCTCAGAGAGGTGAAAGACTTGCCTGAAGGCACACAATTGAAAAGTAACTGAGCCAGCATTTGGCCCTTAGTTACCTGAGCCATCCGGGACTTTGCGCATACCAGAATTTCTCAGTCTCCTCCTCTTTGATATGCGTAAATATCATTTGTCCTTCATACATACACACATAAAAACACGATGGGCCAATAGAAGAGGGAGTATCATGTCCATAAAGAGACCCACTCAGCTAAGGGGGAGTAGTAGTGCAGTTCTTTGATCCAATGACAAATGTCTACTGAACACGTATTTGGACAGCCTTTAGAGCTTTTGCAGAGCTCATTAGAGATTGTCTCGTTTGCTCTTCACAGCATCCTTTCAGGTAATTATAGGCATTTTTAGAGATTGAAAGTCTGAGGCTTACAGCTAGGAAGCAGTGGAGCTACAATTCAAACCCAGGTATGTCCAACTTGAGGTTAACAGTTCTTTTAGTTGTACTACAGTTGCCTCTTCAGCAAATGCTTCATGACCAGCCTGACCAAAATGGAGAAACCCCGTCTCTACTAAAAATACAAAAAAAATAGTGGGATGTGGTGGTGCATGCCTGTAATCCCAGCTACTTGGGAGGCTGAGGCAGGAGAATCGCTTGAACCTGGGAGGCGGAGGTTGCGGTGAGCTGAGATCGCACCATTGCACTCTAGCCTGGGCAACAAGAACAAAACTCCATCTCAAAAAAAAGAGTAAAAACAGCACCAGAGCACTTCACTGCTCCACTCTGCTCACTCCATCTTTAATCATAACAATCAGCCCTTCTCTGTCCACCTTTGCCAGGGTCACTAATCATCCTGTGATCTCCTTCCTTTGCATTTCCACCTCCCAGAATCAAAGCCAGTCAAATCTGACTGGGACCCCAGAGGCCACCTAACCTAATTTGGTATTGCACAGATGGGAAGACAAGCCCAGAAAGAGGAAGGGACCTGTCTGAATTCACACAGAGGGACAGTTGCAGCCCTCCTCTACTTCTATCAAAAACCACTTATATTCTATCACTTCCTTTGAACCCCTTACTCCATTCCTAACCTTAACCCTCTCGAACTCTGTCCCCAATAGCCTGAGAAGGTGTCACCCTCCAGACACCAGTGCTCTCATGCCTGTCAGCTAAGGGGAGAGGAGTCTTCCCAATGACCCACTTTCTAAACTGTCCTTGATAAAGCATCAGCTCTTGGGAGGTAGGGGAAGGGAGAATTTTACCATCCTGACCCCTGAGCCAAGGGGCTGCTGGAGCCAGCAGCTCTGTTTATGCCAAGAGGACTGGAGTTTTGGTGTTGGTATCACAATGAGAGTGTCCAGGCCAGAAATTTTTTGTTTATGGTTTCTGATATTTCCTAAGTTAGATTTTTTTTCCTCAGAAAAGAGAAATTTGAGCAATGAACTATAAAATAGTCTTGTTGGTCATTTATGTCTACTAAGTTTTCAACATAGTAGACATTTGTGTTTCCAACTAATGCCCTGTTTGAGATATATAGTTTGTTCTTTATAATCCTTATTATTATATACTGAGATTACTCCAGCTTTTTTCTACTATAAGCAGTCCAGAGGAAAAACAACTGACTTTAAATTCTAAAAGCAAATATTTAAAGTTTTAAAAGGCAAATTTGAAAAGCAAAAATGAAAAATCTAAAGAAAAAGACATGAAAAGATTGCAAAACTGCTTAGGGTACACGAAAAAAAAAAAGCAATTATCAAAAAAAATCACTGGCGATGTTTATTTTCAAACCAAATGATCATGTTAACCAGCTTGCTTTCAGCCAAATTGTATGCTTCCTTTGCGTTAGAGAACCTGGAAACCTAACTTAACACTTCAATTCAATAGAGTAATACATGATCATATGTTAGGTTATATGGGCAAATATTTAAAAATTTTAACCCAACCCTAGCTTAGGCAGAAAGGGAAGATTTTTAGGAAGCTACTGGGATAGATTGGGTAATTCAAGGAAAGTTACAGAATTGAATCAAGAGAAGTACAGGGATGTAGCTAGGCTAGATGTTCAAATGAAACCAGGAATTCAAGTGCCACCAGAACACCATTTCTTTATATGATACTTCATTGTCTTTCGGTATAGACTAACTTCTCTTTTGTAGCAGGAAACATGCTACCAGTGAAGCCAAGCCCTCCACCTTAATACTTCTACTACCAAAGAGGAACTGGCTCTCTTTTGCAGAGTTTGAAAAAATAACAGAGAAGGGTTAAGATGGACCTTTCCTGGTTCAGGTGCCCTTAAATCAGTGAAGCAAGGTTGAGAGGCAAGGTACTATGGGTTGCCAGATTCAGGTCAGCAATCTAATCTTGAACCCATCAATTGTGGCCAAGATCTAGGATCATACAGCAGCAGAAATCATATCGCTGGGAGAAGGGAACAGAGTGTATATTGAGGAAGAAATTGGAAGCTGTTCCCAGAAGAAAGTGAGATAAAGTAAGAGATCCCTTAAAAACTTATACCTAGTTGGTGGTATGAGTCATCAGAGAAAGGCATAAGCCAACTAGAATAGTTCCTAAATGCAGTTTTAATCTTGTTTGCAATTATTTTGAAGGGGTAAGACCATCTGGATGAGTCCTAATCATCCAAGAGAAAATATATTATTATTTAATAGAAACTTGGTCAGCTGAGGCAGCTTAGGGACATAAGCCTGGGAAAAAGAGACCTAGGGGAAGGCTTCAAAATGGCTGACTAGAGGCATTTGAATAGAGCATCCAAGAGAACACTAGAATTCAACAGAGAAGTGACAGGAAACAGTTGAGGCATGGAAGGAGAGGGAAATTAGGCAACTGGCTCAGCCAGGATTGGCTAGGTGCCCAGAGAGGCTAGTGTGGGGAAAGGGAGAGATCCCCAGTGAGAGATCCCCAGTGGTCCACATTCCCACTACAGACTTGCAACCCTAGCCATGGGACAGCCCCTGGATCTTCATGGGCCCAGAGACCTAACATAGGGAGCTGCCTAGAGACCACGCAACAGCATTGCTCAAGGGGGAGAACGCATGCTGGGTCCCATGTGCTCCCTGAGTCCTAAGCAGCTATAGCATGGCACCGTTTTGCAAGCCCAGCCCACACCAGACTGCATTCTACCCTGGGGCAAAATGGCCCCTGCATCTCCACATGCCTGGAGCGCTACTGATATACCCCCATGTACACCCAGAGGTCTACAGGAGCACAATACCAAATGGACCCAGCAGAATACCAGGGTTCCCAGCATTCTAACACACACAGTGTCCTACACCCTGGGGAATGAGTGGTGCAGTGGACCAGGGAAGCTACCCCTGGGACAAAGGGAATCAAAAATGCATGTTCCCTGAGGCCTGATAACTGCCTACCTGGGAGAGCTACCACAAGCAGCAACTCAACTGCCCCCAGCAGAGGAGCTGCTGTGCACATGCCCTGAGGACAGGCTCTGCCACTGTCCACTGCAGCCACTGCTGCTGCCACTGGGAAACCAAAGCATATGCCACTGGCAGTGACTCCACCTGCCAACAGCAGGGCCACTGCTACATAGTTGCATGTGCCCTAAGGACAGGCTCCCCCAACCATTGCTGCTGCTGCAGCCACCAGAACATTCCACCAGGGGTCTGGGGAGCACCCTGCCCTGCCCAACACAGCCAGCACCTGAGGACACCACCAGGAGGCCTGAAGACAGGCCTGCCTGGCCTGGTACAACCCCCACCTGCCATGCTCAAGCACACTACCTGGGGGTATGGGGATTGCCCTGCCTCATTCACCACCACTGGCATCTGTGGACTCCTCCCAGGCACCTATGGATGGGTCTACCCAGCCGTCCCCTACTACCTCAGCAGCTCCCCTACTACCTCAGCGGCTCTCCCACCCCCACATGCACCACCTCCCAAGCCTGTTGCAGCCACCGCTAACACCAACATATGCTGTTTCAGAGTCCAAGTGTTGTGTCACCACTGCTACTGCCATTGCCTATGCCACATACATTATCCAGGGGTTCATAGACTCAGCCACACACCCAGCCTACCACTGTCACTGCCAGCACTATAGCAAGGGACTCCTGGCGGTCCAAGAATCGGCACGTTTGGACCCCCAATGCTGGTGTTCACATACATCTGGAGGCCCACGGAAAGACACACTTGGCTCGCAACTGGGGCATAAGGACTGATAACCTGGCATCCCCATCCTCAGTAAAACCTCACCACAGCCTCCACTAACAACTACAGCCTAAGTCACTGAGGAAATCACAGACACCACCAATGCTTTTTACACTAGAAGAAATCATATGGAGACTACACTACTGCATGCACCCAGAAGCAAAGCTAAAGTGCTCTACCCAACACCATAGATACATCTTTAGGAAAGAGTCTCTCCCTATCAAAACCAATCCAAAAAAATGGAAGAAGTTACTGTTAAAATAGATGCACAGATGTCAAAGTAAGGACACAAGAAACAAGAAAAAGCAAGGACGTATGACACCTCCAGAAAAAACCAGTAATTTTCCAGTAATAGATTCCAATGAAAAACAAATTTATAAAATGCTGAAAAAAGAATTCAAAATAATAATATGAATGAAGCTCAGTGAGATACAAGAGAACACATTAACAATTACTTAATTGTATTGAGATTAACAATACAGTGAAATTTTAAAAATTCAGGATATGAATAAGAAATTCACCAGAGATATAGATAGCTTAAAAAAGAAACCAAAGAGAAATCCAGGAACTAAAGAATTTAAGGAATGAAATTTAAAAGAATACACTTGAGAGCTTCAACAGTAGACTAGATCAAGCAGAAGAAAGAATTTCAGAACTTGAAGACAGGTCTTTTGAAACAAGCCAGAAAAAAAAAAGAGAGAGAGAGAGAGAAAGAAAGGGGAAGGGGAAGGGAGACAGAAAAGCAACAGAAAAGGAGAAGTATGAAAAAAGAAGAAAAAAGTGAGCAAATATCTGAACTGTGGGTGTTCCAGAAGATGAAGAGAAGACCAAAGTTATAGAAAACCTATTTAATGAAATAAAAGTTGAAAACTTCCCAAGTGTACCAAGTGTACATCCAGATACAGGATACAGGAAGCTCAGAGATCCTCAAATAGATGTAACTCCACAAGTTTTCTCCACAGCACATTCTAGTCAAGCTGTCAAAAGTCAATGACAAAGAGAGAATTCTAAAAACAGCCAGAGAAAAGTCACATATAAAGGAACCCCCATCAGACAGCCAATTTTTCAGCAGAAACCCTACAGGCCAGGAAAAAATGGGATGATACATTCAAAGGGCTGAAAGAAAGAAAAGAAAACTGGCAGCCAAGACTACTCTACCAAGCGAAGCTGTCCTTCATAAATGAAGGAGAAACAAAGTCTTTCCCAGACAAGCAAAAACTAGACCAGCCCTACAAGAAGTGCCTAAGGGAGTTCTACACCTGGAAGCAAAAGGGTGATTATCTACTATCATGAAAAAACACAAAACTATCAAACTCATTGGTAAAGCAAACAAACGAGGAAGAGAAGGGACTCAAATGTTATCACTACGGAAAATCACCAAACTGCAATGATAAACAAGAAAGAAAGAAAGATAGGAACAAAAATTATATAGAACAACAAGAAAACAGTTAACAAAATGACAGAAGTAAGTCCTCACATATCAATAACACTCTTGAATGTAAACAGATGAAATTTTTCACTTAAGAGTGGAAAAAACTGACGGAACGGGTTTTTTTTTTTTTTTTAATGACCCAACTATATGCTACCTATAAGAAATTCACTTCACCTGTAAAAGACATGCAGACTAAAAGTAAAGGGATGGAAAAAGATATTCCATTCTAATGGAAAGTACAACAGGCAAAAGTAGCTGCATTTGTGTCATATAAAATAGATTTCAAGTCAAAAACAGGGTGATATATCCAGGTAGTTGTGGTGATGCTGGCCAAATAGTGCTTGGCAGGTGAGAATGTAAACCCAGGTTCAAGTGAAGTAATAACAGCTTGAATGTTTTTTCTTTCTTTTGAGACAGAGTCTCGCTCTGTTGTCCAGGCTGGAGTGCAGTGGCACAGTCTTGGCTCACTGCAAGCTCCACCTCCTGGGTTCATGCCATTCTCCTGCCTCAGCCTCCCCAGTAGCTGGGACTACAGGCGCCTGCCACCACACCTGGCTAATTTTTTTTTTTTTTGTATTTTTAGTAGAGACGGGGTTTCACCATGTTAGCCAGGATGGTTGTGATCTCCTGACCTCGTGATCCGCCCGCCTCGGCCTCCCAAAGTGCTGGGATTACAGGCGTGAGCCACCGCACCCGGCCAAGAGCTTGAATGTTTTCATGTGCTAATGTTGCACACTTGTGAAAAAAACTTTGGAAATGGAAAATATATATTAGTGCACATTGACATGCATTTTGAGGCAAAGACATATTGTTTGGTTCCACGATTTGTCCTTAAAGTGAAAGAACATTTAAAGTTTAGAATTAACCTAGCTGTAGCAATGCTGTTCTGTTAACAGATAACTAGAACTTACATTCACATTTAATTTATGTTAACTATGTAAAACCTAGTAGTGAGCATAATAGTCAGTAAATGTTTGGATTCCTCTTACCCCTCAATAAGTTTATTTTTAACATATTCCTGCCTGCCTTTCTGACCCTGTTGAATCAGCCTGTGGACTAGAGTGTTAATGAAATGTTATTGCCAAAGAGATTATGAGAAAATTGGTATATCATGTAGATATCATACAAAGTCTTCTTGTAACATAAAAAAGGTAGTTTTATTATTGTTTATGCCTCAACTATTTAAGTGAATATTAAAGGGCTTAGGAAAAAAAAGTCAAAACAGGAAAAAGAGACAAAGAGTGTATTATGTAATGGTAAAAGGATCAATTAAGCAAGAGGATACAGCAATTCTAAATGTACATGCACTCAATACTGGAGCACCCAGGTACATTCAGCAAATTCATTCGATCTAAAGGGAGAGATAGATGCCAATGAAATAATAGTGAGGGACTTAAACACCCCACTCTCAACATTAGACAGATCATATCAATGGAAAATTAACAAAGAAATAATGTATTTAAACTGTGCTTTAGACAAAATGGACCTAACACTCATTTACAGAACATTTTCTCCAGCAGCTCCACAATACACATTATTCTCATCAGCACACAGAACATTTTCCAGGATATATAATATATTAGGCAAAACAAGTCTCAACAAATTTCTACAAATTGAAATTATATTAAGTTCTTCTCAGACCACAATGGAATAAAACTAGAAATCAGTTACAAGAGGTACTTTGAAAACTGTACAAATACATGGAAATTAAACATGCTTCTGAACACCCACTGGGTCAATGAAAAACTTAAGAAGGAAATTTTTTAAAATTCTTGAAACAAATGAAAATGAAAACACAACATACCAAACCCTATGGGATACAGCAAAAGTAGTACTAAGAGGGAAGTTTATAGCAATAAATACCTACATCAAAAAAGTAGAAAGATTTCAGATAAACGATCTAATAATGCACCTTAAAAAACTAGAAAAACAAGAACAAACCAAACCCAAAATTAGTAGAAGAAATAATAAATATCAGAACAAAATTAAATGAAATAGAGACCAAAAATACAATACAAAGGATTAATGAAACGTTGGGTGTTTTTAAAAAGATAAAACTGATAAGCCACTAGCTAGACTAACCAAGAAAAAAAAAAGAGAGAAGAGCCAAATAGACAAAATCAGAAATGAAAAGGAGACATTGCAACTGATAACACGGAAATAAAAAAGAACATTAGAGACTGTTATGAACAGCTATACACTGACAAACTTGAAAACCTAGAGGAAATGGATAAATTCCTAGACACGTAAACCTATCAAGATTGAATCAGGAAGAAAGAAAAACCCTGAACAGACCAAGTAACAAGATTGAATCAGTAATAAAAAGTCTTCCAACAAAGAAAAGCCCAGGACCAAGTGGCTTCACTGTTGGATTCTACCAAACTTATAAAGAAGAACTAACATAATTCCCCTGAAGCTATTCCAAAAAACTGAAGTGGAGGTAATTCTCCCTAACTCATTCTATGAGGCCAGTGTTATGCTGATACCAAAACTGGACAAGGACGCAACAAACGAAGAAAACTACAGGCCAATATCCCTCATGAAATAGACACATAATAGTTTGTACATTTACAAAATACTAGTAAACCATATTCAGAAGCACTTCAAAAAGATAATCCACCATGATCAAGTGGAATGTATCCCGGGGATACAAGAATGGTTCAATATACGCAAATCAGTAAACATCATATATCACGTAAACCAGTGGTCCCAACCTTTTTGGCACCAGGGACTGGTTTCGTGGAAGACGTTTTTTGTATGGATCGTATGTGGGGGGTCGGGGGTAGTTTCAGGATGAAGCTGTTTCACCTCAGATCAGCAGGCATTAGATTCTCATAAGGAGTGCACAACCTAGATCCCACACATGCACAGTTCACAATGGGGTTCTGACTCCTGTGAGAATCTAATGCTGCCTCTGATCTGACAGGAGGTGGAGCTCAGGTGGTAATGCTCCCTCACTGGCTCATCTCCTGCTGTTCCAGGAGGGTACCAGTCTGTGGCCCAGGGTCTGGGGACCCCTGACATAAACAGAATGAAGGACAAAAGCCATAAGGTCATCTCAATAGTTGCGGAAAAAGCGTTTAGTAAAATTAATCACCCCTCATGAAAAAAACAACAAACTAGGTGCAGAAGGAACATACCTCAACATAATAAAGCCCATATATGACAAACTCAGAACTGACATCATCATACCAAATGAGGAAAAGCTAAAAGCCTTTCCTCTAAGAACTGGATCAAGACAATGATGCTCATTTTCACCACTTCTATTCAACATAGCAGTGGAAGTCCTAATGAGAGCAGTCTAGGCAAGGGAAAGAAATAAAAGGCATCCAAATTGGAAAAGAGGTAGTCAAATTATCCCTCTTTGTTTTCTTTTTTTTTTGAATTTAAAAAAAAATTTGTAGAGATGGGATCTCCCAATGTTGCCCAGGCTGGTCTCGAACTCCTGGACCCAAGCAGTCCTCCCTCAGCCTCCCAAAGTGCTGAGATTACAGATGTGAGCCACTGTGCCTGGCCTGTTTTTCTTTGCAGACGATGTGATCTTATATGTAGAAAAACCTAGACTCCACCAAAAAAAAAAAAAAAAACCCTCAGATCTGATAAACAAAATCAGTAAATTTTCAGGATGTAAAATCAACATAGAAAATCAGTAGTTTTTCTATATACCCATAGTGAACTAGCAGAAAAAGAAATCAAGAATCCAATCCCATTTACAATAGCTACCAAAAATATATAAAATACCTAAGAATAAATGTATCCAGCAAAACACTGATGAAATAAATTGAAGAGGACACAAACAAATGGAAAGATGTTCCATGCTCATAGATTGGAAGAATTAATATTGCTGAAATGACCACACTACTCAAAGCAATCAACACATGTAATGCAGTTCCTTACAGTGCAACCCCCAATGCAATACATTATAGGGCTATAGTAACCAAAACAGCTGAGTATTGGTATTAAAAACAGACACATAGATTAGTGGAACAGAATAGAGAACCAAGAAATAAATCCACATACTTACAGCAAATTGATTTTTGACAAAGGCACAAAGAACATACATTGGGAAAAGGACGCCCCCTTCAATAAATGGTGCTGTGAAAACTCGATATTCCTATTCAGAAGGATGAAACTAGACTCCTGTGTCTCACCATATACAAAATCCACTGAAAATTGATTAAAGACTTAAATCTAAAACTTGAGACTGTGAAACTACTGGAAGAAAACATAGGGGAAACACTTGAGGACATTGGTCTAGGCAAAGATTTTATAGCTAAGATATCAAAAGAGTAGGCAACAACAACAACAAAAAACAGACAAATGGGACTATATTAAACTAAAAAGCTTCTGCACAGCAACGAAAACAACAGAATGAAGAGACAACCTGTTAAAATAGGGGAACATATTTGGAAACTACTCATCTGACAAGGGACTAATATCCAGAATATACAAGGAACTCAAACAACTCAACAGTAAAAAAAAAAAAAAAAAAATCCGACATTTCCCAAAAGACATACAAATAGCCAACAGGTATATAAAAATACGCTCAATATCACTAATCATAGCTCATTAGTGATGTTGAGCACTTCAACATTTTACCTCATTTAGAATGACTGTTACTAAAAAGACAAAAAGAAAAAAAAAATTGGCCAGGCGTGGTGGCTCACACCTGTAATCCCAGCACTTTTTGAGGCCGAGGCAGGTGGATCACCAGGTCAGGAGTTCAAGACCAGCCTGGCCAACATGGCGAAACCCTATCTCTACCAAAAATACAAAAATTATCCAGGCATGGTGGCAGGCACCTGTAATCCCAGCTACTCGGTAAGCCAAAGCAGGAGAATCACTTGAACTGAAGAGGCAGAGGTTGCAGTGAGCCGAGATCCTGCCATTGCACTCCAGCCGGGGCAACGAGAGCAAGACTCCATCTCAAAAAACAAAACAAACAAACAAAAAAAAACAGAAAAAGAAAGAAAAAAAAGTAGATGCCGGCGAGGATGCAGAGTAAGGGAACTCATACACTGTTGGTGGGAATATAAATTAGTACAAGTATTATGGAAAACAGTATGGAGATTTTTTAAAATAATAATAAAAATAAAAATAGAGATACCATACAATCCAGCAATCCCACTACTGGCTATTTATCCAAAGGAAAGGAAATCTGGGCCAGGCTCAGTGGCTCATGCCTGTAATCCCAGCACTTTGGGAGGCTGAGGCCGGTGGATCACCTGAGGTCAGGAGTTCGAGACCAGCCTGACCAACATGGTGAAACCCCGTCTCAACTAAAAATAAAAAAGTTAGCTGGGCTTGGTGGCATGCACCTATAGTCCCAGCTACTCCGGAGGCTGAGACAGGAGAATCACTTGAACCCAGGAGGTGGAGGTTGCAGTGAGCCAAGATGGCTCAACTGCACTCCAGCCTGGGCAACAGATCAAGACTCTGTCCCCCCAAAAATAAATAAATAAATAAAGGAAAGGAACTCAGTATGTCAAAGGAATACATGCACCCCCTTGTTTATTGCAGAACTATCCATAATAGCAAAGATATGAAGTCTTTGAAACATGTCCATTAACAGATGAATGGATGAAGAAAATGTGGTGTATATATTCAAAATGACATACTATTCAGCCATAAAAAAGCATGAAGTCCTGTCATTTGCAGCAACATGGATGGAACTGGAAGTCATTATGTTAGGTGAAATAAGCCAGGCATAGACAGACAAATACGTTCTCACTTATATGTGGGCACTAAAAAAGTTGATCTCAGCTGGGTGGGCTGGCTCACACCTGTAATCACAGCACTTTGGGCGGTCGAGGTGGGTGGATCACCTGAGGTCACGAGTTTGAGACCAGCCTGTCCAACATGGTGAAACCCCGTCTCTACTAAAAATACAAAAAAATTAGCCGGGCGTGGTGGCGGGTGCCTATAATCCCAGCTGCTCAGGAGGCTGAGGCAAGAGAATCGCTTGAACCCAGGAGGCGGAGGTTGCAGTGAGCCGAGATCCTGCCATTGCACTCCAGCCTGGGCAACAGAGCGAGACTCGGTCTCAAAAAAAAAAAAAAGAAAAGAAAAGAAAAGAAAATTGATCTCATGGAGATAAAGTAGAAAAATAGTTACCAGAGGCTGGGAGGGGGTCGGAGGGTTGAAGAGAGGTTGGTTAATGGATACAAATATACAGTTAGATTGAAGAAATAAGTTCTAATGTTCAATAGCAGAGTAGGGTGATTATAGTTAACAACAATGTATTGTATATTTCAAATTAGCTAGAAGATAACCTGAAATGTTCCCAACACCAAGAAATGGTAAATACTCAAGATGGTGAATACCCCAAATACCCTGACTTGATCATTACACATTGTATGCATGCAACAAAATGTCATGTTACACTGTCAATATGTACAAATATTGTGTGTCAATAAATTTATTTTTAAACTTACCCTCAAGAGGTCCTTGCAGGCAAATCATGCCTTCTCACATACCTTTCACTCGTTGCTTCTACTTCCACAATAAATCTTACTCATATATATTTAGGACCTACCCTGTGCATAGCACTGAAGATAAAGAAATGAAATTAGCAGTTTAATACTCTTTGACTTACATAATTCTGCATTGTTCAATACTAATATCCTCAGACCTGACTTTCTCTTTGTTCACGTTAAATAATCATATTTTACCCATATTTTAATTTTGAATATTTTTTGGTTTGTCTAATAAATAGAGAAATCTTAGATTTAGTGTTTTTTCTTATAGTATTGGTTTTTAATATTTTATTAAAGATTACTGAGGTTGCTCTTATTACACCTGTGTGTGTATATACACACACACATATATATACACACATATATACTCACACACACATATATATACACATATATACAGACCTGTATATATGTACACACACATATATACACACCTGTATATGTGTACACTGTATGTATCTACACACACAAGTGTAATACATATATACATAATATATATGTGTATATGTGTATATATTCTTTGTACCATCCTTTTTTTTCTTAAAAAGGACACTTGCTTTCCCTTCTGATTTTCTTCATTCTTCTGCTATTCATTGATGTATTTCATTATCCCATTATTTCAATATAAATAATTTCTTTCAAATATTTTAATTTTTTTATTTCAAGTTTGATAATATATTTGCCGCAGTTGTTTGGACTTACTTCAGTACAATCAACTGGTCTCACTGGTTTCTACCTTAGATTCATTGTTCCCTTTCTATGGAACACATCTTTGAATAACATTTTTTCAGAGAGAATATATGCATTTGTATAATTCCCATTGTCTTGCATATAAATAGCTTGATTATATATAAAATTCTTGAGTCACATGTTTTTCTTTCAAAACTTTGTAAATGTTTACCTTCTAGAGCTGCTTTTCCTATAATATGTTCCAAGGAAAATAAGCTGTAAAAAATGCTTCAGGAAAAAGGGCTCCATGGTTATATAACTATAGGAAAACTTCCATTCCTATAGGAAAGGTACATTTTCTATCAGAAATGTACCAGGGAAAGTAGCATACTATAGGCCATGAGCTCTCCTGAGGTAATGAAAATGGATTAATTTTATTTCCAGTGTATCCAAGCTACTTGACCACAGTAATACTGAGAGAAAGCAAATGACCAACAATACAGTAACAGGTAACATCTTTTCAGCATGTACTATGCACTAGGCACTGTTCTAGCACTTAGTCTGTGTACATTATCTGATTTAATCCTCACAATAGTTCTAGATGGGTGGTAGAATTTTTCAATCTGTTTTAACAAATGAGGAAACAGAGGCACAAATAACTTAAGAAAATGAGCTAGAAAATGCTGAAGCTAAATTGAAACCCAAGTAGTTAGCTCCTGAACCATTATTCATATCCTTAAGAGTTGGCAGGGAAGGGCAATAAAGGCAACTTCTATATCTTTCCTAAGCCTGAAAAACACAGCGAAACATCTAATTGTACCAGAAAAGAAAGGGAACTTTCCACCAACCAGAAGTACACTCTGCTAGACTGTCCTAGAATTTGCTGCTGAATTATGGCACAGGCACTTTGGGGGGTAATCTGATGATCATCCATGCAAGTGCTCAACCTCTGCTGTTGGCCAACATCCAGGACCCATCATTGAATACTCATCACCTCATCAATTCATCCTCCTCAACTGACGGGCAAAACAACATCCAAATATTCATTGCACATCTGTGCCGGGCAGATTATACATTAGCAATTCAAATCTGGCCGGTGTGCTGGCTGTTCCTGCAAATGCGTCTGTTTGGGTGAGATGCCTTGTTGTCTGGGATGGATAATAAGGCAACTCGGTCTAATCTTGAAGAACAATCAACCCATCTTGTGAAGGTGACTGGCTGTGTGTGTTCTTGCCCTGGCAGCATTGGAACAATGGCCCCATAATGCACTCGACTCAGCTGGCAATGAAGTCCCATCCTGATTAGTAGCCGTGGCTGGTGTCAATCACCACAGGATGCATCATTGTCCCCTGGTCCCCAACACAGTTTATTTACAGGAAAACAAAGGCTTTGGGGGGCCATGGCTGCTTCCCAGAGATTGCAAAATAGATTGAGCTGTCAAGCACACAAAGTAGATGAAGATTAATGAGTTGTGCGGACAATAAATATGAAGAGATGACCATGAATATGCTAATGGGCATTATCCATATACACTGTAATTGCTACCAAAATTAAAAGGTGGCATGAAGAAGATGGGTCACAGGGTGACAGGGAGATAATCTTGGATGCTTGAGACACTCACTCAAGATAAGGCTCTCTACAGGTTTCCTTTTTCCCCATTAAACCATCCTGAGGCATCATTATTCACAAGCTATCTGAATACGCTCCTTTTAAACAGGGATATAAGGGGCAGGGTGAGGGTGGGAAGCTGGAAAAGTTACTTTAAGGAAAGGTGTAATTAGAATAAGAAAGGCTTATCAAAGGCAAGAAGTGATCAGCTGTCAGTCTCCCACTTTATCCCCAGGGGCAGAATTGATGAGAGATGTCACTTCAAACTTCAGATTCCCCACGATAAGAGCCACAGGGATTATTGAGAATGGTATTTAGAATACCTTTCAGGGCGCACTGGGTGATTTTTCAAAGTATTCTAATATTCTGATTTAAAAACAACAATAATAATAATAGAGAAAGTTGAAGAACTTAATGTTTCAAGGCAAATGAAATCTTGCGATCATGAATGATTGGATCTTGGAAAAGCTATGCTCTGTAGTACTGTGGCATGGCCGTGGCATGGCTGAGTCTCACCCTGCCTTGCAGTCAGTCCTCACAGTCCCCCATGTGGCAGGGTGGGGGTCTCTGTCTCCATTCAACACCTTTCTTCCTTTCCACGCGTATGTCTGTGGATGGGGCTTAAATTATCCTAATAACACACCTAAGTAATGCTATGAGAGGCCACGAATAACAGAAAGAGAAAGAAAGGTTTTCTTGTTTCATGGGTTCTCTGTTCTGGACAATCTGCTCCCCCAGAGGTCTATGAGATGCTTCCCCGGGTTGTGGGAACACATCTTTGCTCCTTCAGGATAGAGACCAAACATGTTCCTTGGCCTACCCCAGGTGAAGGACTAACAGGATGAAACCACAGTTTCAGGATGAAGAGCTAAGGGTGAAAAAGAGGAAGTCAGGAAAAGGAAGGGGTTCCAGTCTGAGGCTGGACTGAAAATCCGCCTAACAGGGAAAAAAGGAAAGTTTGTACAAATGTTTGAAACAAGCTTACGGAAATGGGTGAGAGAAAAAGGTACTGAACTAAGTATAACTTTAGAAATGAGCGAGGCCTGGCCAAGAGAAAGGCCAAGGGAACGGCACATAAGCACTGTAGTCTAGTGACAAAGCCGTTTCCCATGGGGGTATGGGCTAACAATTCTGAAACCAGCACTTACGTATACTGGAATTAAACAATGAAGTAAATAGGTAGCAGATGGTAGAAGCCAGGTTTCTCACAGTTGGAGTGAGAGGTTACAGGTAAGCAAGGGGAGAAGGCTACACTGATCGATGTAGTAATAGAGCAGAGTTGAAGACATCAGCAAGCACTCATGTGAAACTTAATATAGATCCAGATGGCTACACAAAGAAATATTTATGGATATATGGATATGCACCGGTTAGTGTACACACATATATTTCCTTGCTCTGTCAGCTGAGAGGGCCTAGAAGCAATGACACTCCAGGGGCAATGACACCCTAGTAGCAACACCCATGCCTAGCACCTAGATCTTGGTTTCTTTTGTTTGCTTGTTTGTGTGTGTGTGTGTGTGTTTTGAGATGGAGTTTTGCTCTTGTTGCCCAGGCTGGAGTGCAATGGCGGGATCTCAGCTCACTGCATCCCATGCCTCCCGGGTTCAAGTGAGTCTCCTGCCTCAGCCTCCTCAGTAGCTGGGATCACAGGCACCCACCACCATGCCCAGCTAATTTTTTGTATTTTTAGTAGAGACAGGATTTCACCAAGTTGTCCAGGCTGGTCTCAAACTCCTGACCTCAGGTGATCCGCCTGCCTTGGCCTCCCAAAGCCAAGAGCACCAAAATAAAGTAGTACTAGAGTGTAACCCAAAGTGCAAAATAAATATCCATGGTGTCACGCTGATATAAATAAACGAGTGAATAAATAAGCAGGAGAAAATAGAATAGATCTCTCACTTATTTATTCACTCACTTATTTATATTGGTTTGGAATAAATCTCCCTTGCAGAATTCCAGATAGCTTATGTAGGTACCCCACTCTCAAGGATGTAGAGCGTAATTCCCTACTGTAATTTTAGGATGTGTATAGTTCCTTCCTTCCAAAGAGTACAGTATGAAAAGGGGGAAAAAGAGTAACTTCACAGCCAAGAAACCTGACATCCGCTACCTCAACCAAGTGATTGAGGTCAATGTCTTATGTCATGTTGATAGGATGTGCCCTTGATCTGATGTAGCGAGAATGGCACTTCACCTCCGTGGTCTTCTTCCTCAAAACCCATAACCCCAATCTAATCATGAGGAAAACATTAGACACATGCCAGTAGAGGGGCATGCTACAAAATACCTGACCAGTCCTCCTCAAAACCAAAAATAAAGCCTGAGAAATTGTCACAGCCAAGAGGAGGCTAAGGAGAACTGACAACTACATGTAATTTGGTATTCTGTATAGGATCCTGGAACAGAAAAATGACATTAGATGAAATGGGTAAAAATTAAGGAAATCTGAATAATGTTTGGACTTTAGTTAGTATTAATGTATCAGTAATGGCTTATGAACTGTAACCACTGTACCTTACTAACATAAGATGTTAAGAATATGGGAAACTGGCTATGGAATATATGAGAACCCTTTGAACTACTCTGCACTTCTTCTCTATGTCTAAAACTATTCTGAAATCAAAAGTCCAGTTCAAAAAAAAAAAAAGTTTGCAGCATCTTTTGTGCTCAGTAGAAAGCTTTCAATAAGACTAGTCATTTTAGTAATGGATTGTGTCTGTGTGCCCTTCCAGAAGTTGTGCATATAACAGCCAGGGTGCTTAGTTTGCAAGCAACAAACTAATTTTTCCTGATTTACACCAGAAAGGAATTTATTGTAGGATATTGGATAGCACACAGAGTATATGAGAGAGCCTAAAACCAGCCTTGGAGGCCATACAGCTGGGATGATGTTGGAAAGCAGGCTCAGAACCGGCCCTGTGCAGACTCCGCTGTTGCTGCTGTGGACCTGCAGCTCATAGTTTACAATGCCAGCCCTCTGCTGTTCCATTCAGATGCAGCCACCAGATCTGCCGCCTCGGGGAAACTGTTGTGGCTGCTGTGGCTGCCAACGCCCTTGCTAGAATGGATCCTGCAGGGTCCCTCCTTCTCCACTTCATTCGCTTGTAATTCAGCTCAGGAGCGATGAGTCTGATTGGCTGAGCCCAGGCCACGGCTCTGCTTGGTGCAAGGGAGATCGGGATGTGTCTGGCATTTTCAGCTTCTACAGTGGGAGGAAAAGCCATGACTGGGCTGAGTTTTTCTCCAAGTTGTGAGAAGTTGGCATTTCCTTTCACTTACAGCCTACAACCAACCACAGGTAAAGCCAAGTGGGGAACTGAGTGACCTTAGTTAAGGGGGAAAATGCCACCATTGAAGAAAAGTAAGTAGCTAGGACATGAAGATCTAGATGGCTAGCTTCACTCTGCTGAGACCAGCTTAGATGTGACCAAACAGTTTTGTTTTGTTTTGTTTTGTTTTTAAGAAAAAAAACACTTTGAACAGGCTTGCAGGGGGATTATTCTGGAGATAGCGCTGCTTTTGTTTTCTTTAAGCTCATGCCATCACTTCTGGGGAATGCTGTGAAGAGAACCATCATCATTCAGAAGCCACCTACATAGAGCTGGGGTCCATGCCTGCTTGGGTGTCACTGTTGCTCCCTCCACTGGCTGTTGTGGATGGCAGAAGGTGCAAGGGAAGAGGGGCAGGGTTCCAGCTTTGTAATTAGACAACTCACACTCTGAGTCCCTGCTCTGCCACCCTCTAGCAGGTGACATTGGGCAAGGTATGTTTTGGAAGCTTAGTCATTAACACCCTTCATCTGTGCTCACACGCCAGCTCTCCTGGCGCACTTACCACTCTGAACTGGAACCATCTGTTAATGCATCAGCGAGCCCACTGGACTGTGCCCTGCTCATCCATCTCTGGACCCCTGGTGTTCAGCCCAGGCCTGGCACACAATAAGCACTCAGAGATGTTTGAATAAATAAATGTACATATAAGGGTGGCAAGAGAGCTGTGTGCCTTATAGAATGCCCTCAGTCAGTAAGAATTGCTTATTGAAAATTTTGTGAACTTGAAGTCAAAGAAATGTTGATTCAAGCTCTTCTTAGCAGCTTGATCCTTGGAGCGAATAAGAACTCTTCTGAGTCTCAGTTTTTCTTTTGTAAAAGGAGGGCCAATTATGAGGCAGACAGTGTTAAGTGGCCACCCGAAGGAAATTCCCAAATCCCTTCTCTCTTCTCACCACTACAGAGGCTAAAAAAGCTCAACACTCAGTTTCCCAGTCTCCCTGTGGCTAGCGGTGACCAAGTAACACATGTTAGGCCAATGAGTTGAGAGGGGGAAGATTAAAGAGAGATAAGCACAGAGTGGTCCCAGAAAATCCAGTTAATTTAGGAAGTTTATTTTGCCAAGGTTGAGGATGTGCACCTGTGACACAGCCTCAGGAAGTCCTGACAACATGTGCCCAAGGTGTTCGGGGCACAGCTTGGTTTTATACATTTTAGGGAGACATGAGACGTCAATCAATATGCGTTAGAAGTACATTGGTTCAGTCTGGAAAGGCGGGACAACTCAAAGCAAAGGCAGGAAGACTCGAAGGGGAAAGGGGGTTTCCAGGTCACAGATAGGTGAGAGATAAATGGTTGAATTCTTTTGAGTTTCTGATTCACTTTTGCAAAGGAGGTAATCAGATGTGCATTTATCTCAGTGAGCAGAGGAATAACTTTGAAAAGAATGGGAGGCAGGTTTGCCCTAAGCAGTTCCCAGCTTGAATTTTCCCTTTAGCTTAGTGATTCTGGGGGCCTGAGATATTTTCCTTTCACAACAGGAAAAGAAAGTTTCGCACAACTATAGCCTCTACTCTGCCTCCTGCCTTTGAGTGCAGATGTGGGGCTCAGTTGCCATACTGCAGATGCTCAGGAATAAGCCCAGTGGAGAAGAAGAGAGCAGAAGGCTGGAGGCCTTGATGCCGCCACTGGGCAGCTGAAATAAGGCCAGCATCCTCCTCCTCCATCATGTTAAGTAAAGGATAGATGTCTTGTGATTCAGGCCACTGTTAGTTGGGTTTTGTTACTTGCAGCCTAAAGCATCATAACCAATCAACTTTTCTCACAGGGTTGCTGTGAGGACTAATTAGACTCATCCATGCACCTGGCATGCAGTGAGCACTCGATAAATGGGAATTTACTGTTATTAGTATGGACCACAGCCCCACCCACAGGGAGCTCTGTGTGGTTAAGAAGGCAGAGAGAAAAGGAAGGTGGGAGGAGGAAGAGCAGAGGGAAGAGGGAGTCAGAAGGGACTTATGAAGAGGTGGGGAAGAGCAGAATGGAAGGGGAATGAAAGGGGATAGAGGGGATTAAGGGAAGTAGGTGGATAAAAGAAAGGGAAGGAGGAAGGAAGACAGGAAGGGGGACCCCAATAACAACTGAAGCAGAATGCTAAAAAAAAAAAAAAAAAAAAAAAAATCATGGTAAAACAAGAACTCAAAGAGTCCAAAGTTGACTTAAAGGAAATAAAGAATAATAACATTTCTTGTATACCCAGAGCCCTAAAAGGAGTTATGGTCCCACTATATTCTGCAGAGTTTCTGTGAGTATTTAACATGTAAGATAATTCATGTGAAAGGCCCCTGCACATGGTGGACACTTAATATTTTCCAAATCAAATGATATCATTTCAAAATTGGCAGCTGCAGAAGGGGCTGAAGAACCTAATTTCTTGCACCCCATTTCATCCTACCTGAGTGAACATCAGTTGGTCCATAAGAAGAGAGCCTAAGCTCCTCCCAGGTACAGTTAGAAAGGGGAGGTGAAAGGGTCCAGCTTTTTCAAGACATGGTATTTGATGTTATTTAACAGGAAGGTAGAGGTCAAGCTTGGCAGAGCCTGGTGATTTTCTTTTAAACAGGACTCTGCAATGCAAGCAAATGCTATATGGTGCACAGACATGCCATTGGCAACAGCGATCAAAGGTCAGTTTTATTCCAGGTAAGTAAAACAACAACAATAAAATCAGAGTAGATTAAAATAGGTATAAAACCCATTTTTGGGACATTAGAATATAGATGATATTAGATGATTTTATAGAATTATGTTTAACTTTCTTAGTAATAATAGCAGATGGTAATAAAGGAATATGTTCTTACTCTTAGGCAATCATCTTACTCTACTTGGGCTGTGATAACAAAATACCATAGACTGAGTGGCTTAAACAACATACATTTATTTCTCACAGTTCTAGGAACTGGAGGTCCTAAGTCAGGGTGCCAGCATAGTTGAACTTGGGTGAGGGCCCTCTTCCTGAAAGCTGTAGTCTCAGCTTGCAGACAGCTTTGCCTTTTTACTGTGTCCTCACACAACAGAGAGAGAAAGAGCACAAAAGCTCTCTGGTATCTCTTCTTACAAGGGCACTAATCCCATTGTGAGGGCTCCACCCTTGTGACCTCATCTAAACCTAATTACCCCCAAGTGCCCCATGTCCAAATATCACATTTGGGGTTAGGGCTTCAACGTGTGAATTTGAGGGGGACACAATTCAATCCATAGCAGAGATTTCCGTTGAAATATATAGGGATGAAGAATCATGATGTCTGAAAATTACTTTCAAATTATTTTGAAAATAAAAAGAGAAATAGAGATATAAGGTAAATATGGAAAAATGTGAAAGTAGATAATAGGCTTATGGAAACTGGTTAGCTTGATTTACTCACTTTTGTGTTTCTCTTCATCCACTCACTACTTCCCTCCCAGATCCATTCTTTGATCTGCCTGGCCGATGGTGGATGCTCAATATGTCTGTTGAATTAATATTAAAAATAAAGTTCTCCTTACCTGCTAATATCTGCATGACTAAGTAGAGACATAGTTTTAAGCCATTTTCAAAAAATACCCACAATGAATTACTTAAGTAAACATGATTTGCTTAAAGTCACAGTTTAACCTTGCTTTTTTCCTCCCAGCGTTAAGTATCAGATGAAAGGGTGCTTGCTCTCTGTCCCCAGATGCCCCAGGCTGTCCCTCCAGACTGCAGGAGGCCAAGCTCCCTTTTTCTTTCCCTGTGTGCCTTCTGCCCTCACTCAGAGTCCCTACCACCTCAAAACCTTGGGAGCAAACCACGTGGGCAAAAGCAATTTAACGGAAGACAGTACAAATGTTGTACACTTTGAAAATTTTTTTAAAAGAACTGGCAAGATAAAACATTTAATTGCAAGTAACTTGTAAAAATAAAAGTAGTAAAAGTAATAAAAAAAATTACCCAAGAGGCAGAGCTACAAAGAGACTGTAGCTCATTGTTTGAGAATGAATTAGACCTTTATAAAACTCTGAACATTTCCAGATTCTTTAATTGTTATAACGCACCTTTTATTACTTTTCTCTTATTCCTATTGCTTTAGGTCCTTTCAGATTTTTTTTCTATGATAATGGTAATAGACGTTACTACTGAGTGAGTGCCTACTGTGTACCAGGCACAGTTTAGCCCTCACAAGACTATGAGGTGGGTATCCCCATTTTATAGATGAAGAAATTGAGGCTCAAAGAGGATAAGTCACTTGCTTATGATCACACCACTAGAAAGGATAGAACTGGACTCAGACCTCCACATCTGCTCACCTCAAAACCTCAGACTCTACACTACTTCCCGTAAGTGTGTTCCTCTACAAAAACAGCTTCTGTCACATAGTCCCCTATTGTTGGTCCATTATATTGCTTCCAGCTTGTATTTGTTTTTCATTGTTGCTGTAAAGAATTAGCAACAATTAACACAATTAACTTTAGTGGCTTAAAACAACATGCATTCTCTTACAGTTCTGGGAGTCAGATGCCTACAATGAGTCTTCTGAGGCTGAAATCAAGGTGTCGGCAAGGATGGTTCCTTCTGAGAGAGGATCTAGAAAGAATCTGTTTCTTGCCTCTTGTAGCCCCTAGAGGCCGCCTGTATTCCTTGGCCTATGGCTACATGACTCAGTTCTCTGCTTCCATCGCCTCCCCTCCCTGCAACTCCTGTCTTCCTCTTATAAATACTCCTGTGATTATATTGCGCCCACCCAGATATTAATAATTCAGGATAATCTCCCCATGTCAAGATCCTTAATTTAGTTGCATCTGCAAAGTCACTTTTACCATGGAATGAAACATTCATAGGTTCCAGGGATTAGGACATGGGCATCCTTAGGGGACCATTATTCGGTTCAACATACAACTTTTTGACCCAAAGTGCAGAGTAGGAGTCACTGACTCTCCCATGAGTCATTCTCACCCCACATTTCAGGCTTCCATCAGGGATGGGCTCTTGCCTGCTCTGACACTTAACAATGATCTTGGATACTAACCAATCCCATTGCCTGCTAGTTTCCTCCAAACACAGTGGAGGCTTGTTTTTAAGCCACTAAAGTTAATTGTGTTAATTGTGGCTAATTTGTTACAGCAACAATGATGATCAATTCAGTATCAGGCTGTCCTATTTCAGATTCTCCTGAATCACCCCCCAACACACACACACACACACACACACACACACACACACACACACACACACACACATTTTATTTCATCCTTCTCTAGAAGAGATGTATTGAAAATAATACCCCCTACCTTCTCAACGTTGTGAAACTCAAAAGTCAGCAGCAGCTTGGAGGTCTCCAGGTCCTGAGCGCCTCTCTGTTGCCATAATATTTAAGTGGAGTGACTTTAACCCTAAATCCATATGTGATGGGAAAGAGAGAATCTTCCTAATATCACTGAAGATCTTCAGGGCTAAGGGATTTCCATTTTTCTTAGTCACATAAATGTTCGCTTTTCTACTTTTCAATTCCAGTAACATGCAACAACTGCCCTTTTCCCTTAACTCTTCAGCACATATCGAACACCCAATTCCTTCAACCTCCAAAGCACCATCAGTGCAAGCAGAGTGTGTATAGTGGTATCTAAGTTCATTCCTGTTGCTATAACAAAATACTTTAGACGGGGTAATTTATAAACAACAGAAATTCATTGCTCACAATTCTGGAGGCTGGGAAATCCAAGATCAAGGTGCCAGCAGATCTAGTGTCTGATGAGGTCCTGTTCTTCACAGATGATACCTTCTCTGTACCTTTACATGATGGAAGGGCAGAAGAGGGTAAACTCACTCCTTAAAACCCTTTTATAAGGGCACCAATCCCACCCATTAGGGCAGAGTCCTTATGATCTAATCACTTCCCAAAAGCTCCATCTCTTAATACCATCACCTTAGAAATTAAGTTCCAATATATGAATTTTAGGGGGACACCGACATTCAGGTCATAGCAAGTAAAGTAAACAATTACCCACTACAACTTAGATGTTATAATAATAATAATAATAATAATAATAATAATAATAATAATAACTGTCTTCTCTGCAACATGTCTTATCTTGTACCCAAGCCTCTACCCTTTCTCTGATGAGGGAATTCAACCTAGGACAGGGGCATCTTAAGCTTCTTAATTAAAGGTAACTCCATCTCTTCCCATTTAGAATAGTCTCTTGGGTATGGTTTCAGTTGATTTAAAGTTAACATCCATAAAGTCATAAGGTTTTCTCCGTTCATAGATTCTCCACTCCCCACCTCCTAATTTCTGATATGGTACCAGCATAGTGACGGGAAGAATGACCCTGGGTGCTTATGTTCCCCTCTGGGTCTTCACTGGCCTCTACTCCTGCATCCCCATTCTGTGAGGTCCTGGGCGTCCTGTGATGGGGTCTTTTGGTGCGGAAGGTAATTGGTCTGGTCTGGGGGGTATTAAGGAGATAATTAAAGTCCTTCCATAGCCTGAGGTCCCAAGAACCTGTGCTTTGTAGCTCACCTGTGCTGTCCCCTAATTGATATAAGTCAAGTAGTTCTCCTAGAGGTTCCTCATCCCCCACCAGGCCATGTGGGAATTCCTGGATCTCTATCCAGGAATTGGATATCCATCCAGGAGCACTGTCTCTGCCCATCTATCCAGATCTTTCTTCTCTCTAGTGCTACCACTTCCATGTTAGACACGGCCTCACACCAAAGGTCGGCTTCTCTGAGAGGCTTAGAGTAGCAGCCCTGATATCTTTTAGCTCCTCCACACTTAGCTGATACTTTCTTCTGCTTACACTTCTCTCTGAGGTTCAGCCCCAAGGTGATAATGTATTGGTCAGCTATTGCCACATGAATGCTGTGTAATAAGCCACCTCAAAACTCAGTGGTTTCCAACAACAAGCATTTTTTTTCACTTCCAGTTGTATAGTTTGCCCAGGGCAGCTCTGCCTTAGGATGCAAGTCAGCTGGAATTGGCTCCAGGTTTGGATTGGGATCAGATTTGCTCCACATGGCCTTACATTCCCCTTGGAAAATCAAAGAAGCGCAAAAGAACACAAGCAGTGCATTGCCTCTTAAGGCCCTGGACTAAACAAGCCACCTAGCCAGATTCAACACCAATGAGACAGGGAACCATATTCTACTCATTCTGTGTACCACAAGGCCACAAGACTACAAGATATTCAGGGTTTACTAGAAAGTCAGAAGGGGGTTAAGCTACCTCTTCCCAGGGGACTCTGAGAAGGCTTCAGAGAGGAGATGACTTCTGAGCTGTTTTAAAAGAAGAGCAGTTTTTTTAACCAAATGGCTCTAAGAGGAAGGGCATCCTGGGCAGAGGCTGCAGGTTATGGAAAGGGAGCAAGAAGTGAGAGAGCCTGTGCTGAGGCTCAGAAGCCCAATGTGCTGGGAAGCGAGCCTAGAGAGTGGCAGAGGCACATTGCAGAGGATGCCAGGAGCCAGGCTAAAGATCTGGAGGCTTGGACTTTGTTCTAGAAACCATGGGCAGTCTGTGATGGGCTCTGGACCAAGGAGGAGGCCTGAACACGGTTGGATATGTGAGAGTCACATAACTAACAGGCGGGGAGGAGGCGAACAGGGATCTTCCCACTCCCAAAGCCGTGCTTCTTCCATGAGGTCCCCTGCCTACTTCCAGTCACGCCAGGCTCCAAATGCCAGTGTTTACTCCTCTGCCCTCCTCCTGTTGAGAATTACTACGGCTTCCCTGCCTTCATGGGGAAGGAAGAAGGGCCAGCAGGCCCCTTTCAATGACCCCAGAAAAGGAACTCCATTTCACATGACCTACTTACAGAACTTGGACAGCTGTAGACCATCAATATAAATTCCTAGTCTCTATCCTATTTATTTTAGTTGATGACTCAGAATGTTTGAATAGCATATTCATTTATGGCCAGAAAATATTAGCTTCTAAACACTGTAAGCCTGCCCCCAAATCACTTCTTTAAATTCAGATTGTTTTCCCATTCCATCAATTTGCGATCAGAGTTTTCATCACAGACAGATTTTTATAAGTCAGCCCTAGACTTGGGATTTATTTATGCCCATAAACAAAACCCCAATATTAATCGCAAACTATTTCTGATTCTCAGTTAACGTCCTTAAACATCTTGTGTCCCTGGGGACTCTTTGCCCTGTCATATGAAGATGACGTTTTAAGATTTGTATTTCCCCAAAGAAGCAAGTAGATCATAAAACCTAATGTATTCCGTGGTTCGGAATGATAATTTCACCAAGAGGTGAGGGAATATTTCACTGCAGATCGTTACAACACCCACGTAAGTTGTTTATATACTACTTCCCATTAAATATTCATCCAGCTTCTGTTTATGGAATGGCTCCTATGTCCCCAGTAGGGACTGTGGGTGGGTCTTGTATGTGGGGGGGCAGGTAGTGCAGGACAAAGCTGTGGACAGCTCCCTGACTTGGGGTAAGAAGGTTGTGGATAGAAGGCACATCTACCTTGTGGAGCTAGAAAGCAAGAAGCTATGGAGGGGACACAGCCATTCATGGGCAGTGTGCTGGAGACCAAGCTGGAAGACAACTTTGGCTACAAGAGCAGGGCCCCAGGCTGGCAATGCATGTGGCCACAAGGGTGCCTGTCCCCGAAGACCTAGCTAGAATGGAACAGAGGCACGTGCAGAGCCCAGATGCAGAGAGGTTGAAGAAAGGGGTGAGGAAAAGAGGCATGCAGGATTGGATGCTACCAGAATGCAGTGGGATTCCACTTCACCAACATTTTCTGAGAATCTCTGCCTCCGTCCTATGCTTCAATTTTTCCCACTGTAGGAATAGAGGCAGAGAGCTGCATGGCAAAGTGTCTTACAATGAAGACCACAATGAGGGAACCTGGAAGCAAAGGTGTAGGACCCTTGAATTCTGCCCCTTGGGAGTAATCTCAGAAAGCTTATCAAAACAATATGGTGCCATCGTGTTGTGATTAGGGGCAGTCTTTGAAAACAGGACTCAAATTCCTGCACCTTCCTTTCCTAGCTAGGTGTCCTTGGTCCTCAGTCACGTTAGTGCCCCAGTGCTCCTACCTGTACAAGGTGGGTAATATTATGACCCCCCTCTGAAAGTGGTCAGGAGGGTGAAATGGAATAGTATGTGCACCTAGCACTTAGCAACGAGCCTGGCACAGAAGCAGTGAGAGCCTCGGGGCATTGATGCCATGCTTTATGAAAGGCAAACAGGTACCACCAATATATTTAGGTAAGAGAGTGATGGGATCCAGTCTTCCTTTCAGAAAGGAGACTGGGTTGTGGACGAGGGGGCTTGTGCTGATGTCACAGCCAGGGAATAGGGTGGTTGGATTGTCCTGATATAAGCACAGTGGCAAAGGAAGCCTCATCTGAAAACTGGGAAGATCTGTGCCTGTTGGAAGCCAAGAGGAGGGAGGTGGAAAAAATGAGATCCTGGGGGGAATGGGAGAGAGGCAGTCACAGTTATGAGTGGTGGAAGAAGTTGGAGAGAATGGGAATGAGCTGCAAATGCTATGATTTCACAGTTTTACTCTCAAACTAAGTCATTGCTTCTACAACTCTACACTCAATGATGGAGAAACCGAGAAAGAATCATTGAGAGATACAGATATGTAGATGTATGTGTAGGTATAAAATTTTTTAGAAAAGAAAGAATATTCAGAATCCCTAGTATTTGTCTGCATTAGTTCCTTTACTGGAGCTATAGATCTGAAATACAGTTTGGTTATCTGTCCGTCCACCCATCCACTCACTGTGTTTAGCAGCCCTGACCATAGAAGGTACTCAACCAATATTTGCTGGGTAAATGAAGCAAAGAGTGAGCGCCAAAGAGATTTGAAGAATGTGAGATTTAATTTAAAACTCTTCATGCCAGTGCAGTATTACAGTCTTGTTTTCATTCATTTCAATGGATAATTCAGGAAGTAATTTAGAAAATAAATCCCCACCACTTTAACTCCTATTAAAATCAAATCAATAGACCTTATAGGTGAGACACTAGCTCAGGGTACTTTCTCCAGTACTGGTGGGAATGAACATTGATACAACTTGTGTAGGCAGTTTGTACACTTTCTCAAAAGGTGTATGTATTATACACATACCCAGGAATTTCACTTTCAGGATGTTAGCCTTTTGATAGGCTCATCCATGCGTAACATGACATCTTACAAAGATATTCACAGAGCATTGTTAATAACATTAAAAATGAGAAACAAATGTCGCATAATAGCGGACCAGCTAAGTGATAGTATACCCATACGATGGGATACTATCCCGCTATTTTTAAGCAAAAGCAGCTTTAAATAAGTGGTTAGGAATGATGTCCAAGATACAATGCTACTTGAAAGTAAAGGCATGTAAGCCTGTTTATGTTTTTGTATTCTTAGACTGCTCCTGTAAGAATACCTAAGAAACTGGCAAGGCGTTGCCTCCAAATTGGAAAACAGAAGTGAGAAATAGACTGACTTCCTGTATCCTCTTTTGTACCTACTTAGTCTATTTCAAAAACTAACAAACTTTAATTTCAAAAGCCAAATACTAGAGAAGGGTTTATGACAAAGCAAAATTCCTTTGTTCCATCCCTAGTCCCCCTCCCCAGTGGTAACCACTTTAGACAATTTTACATCTCAAATAATATGTTAATTTTGCTATTTCTTGGATTAACAATTCTGTATTACCTATTTATTTTATGTTCTAATAGTTGAAGACTTAGCTCGCCTATAACCCCGACCACTTCCTCTCCTGTCCTTTTAGTAAAGTTATATTATGTGCTAGTTCAGGATACAGCAGGTAATGCTGCAATGACAGACAACCCCAAATCCCAATGGCTTCTATCAAGAAAGGTTTGTTTCTCACTCATGGGACTTGTCTATTACAGGTCCATGGGGGACAGGAAGAGGCATAATCTGTACACTGTAATTATTCAAAACCCAAGGCTGATGGAAGAGCCACCATCTCACATAATGCCAGTCGCCTTCTAGAAGAAAGATTGATCCCACTGGTAATGAAATGCTAGCCCTGGAAGTGATTCCCATCACTTTGGTTCACAACTCAGTTACCAGAACTAATCTCATGGCCCCATCTAACCAGAGAGGGTCAGGAATTATCCAGAACAAAGGAGAACCAGAAATATCTTGGCAAGTGGCACTAATGACTAACATAGTTACCTTTGCAGCTAGACATAAAATAGTTAAACCTCTTTTTCTTGTTCTATCAATGTTAGGCATCATTTCCGGACTCCTCATTTTGTAAGATGCAATTGTTACTGTTACTAGCAGCTTCTTTGCCTTCTATCTTTCCTCCAGCTTTGGTTCCTGACTTCTTTCAGTTCTACTTTTCCCCACCCCAAACCTTTTTTTATTTTTTGTTAGGTTTGCTAACTCTCCCATACATTTCAGTAACCATAATCAGCTCTCTTATGCTCTGCAATTCTATGACTATATAAATATTATTTACTGCAGAGCCAAGCAATGTGCTGCAGTTGTTTCTTTCTTAGTGCATCTAATGTTACAATCTCTGGTGCCACCCTAGGGAATTTTCAGATGGATTCTCCTACACTCCATAAACTTCAGTTTTGCTTTGTATTTGCACTGAAATTTAAAAATCAATGGGAGCGTTGGAAGATGCAGCTGAAGAAATATGGGCCACATAAAGTATTAATGCGCCATGGGAGCCACAAAAGGCCCATGTGCCACCATAGAGCTAACACAGCCTCCATCGGCTGGAGGCTAGGACATCTGAGGCTGAACAAGGGACAGCTCCTGCAGGAACTGAAGGCAGAGCTTAGCATATGGGCCCAGGAGCCAGCACAGGGAACGCAGCCTCGTGCCTGCTCCTCACTGCCAGCCTGTGCTGGCCTCCTCTAATTGGATTGAGTGTTCTGTCATTTTCCCTCAGATGCACTGTGTGGAGAAGGGCCACATGTGCATTCACAGTAATGGTCTCCAACCACTATCCAGTTGGGACACTTTGGGGGCACTATGGAGGTCAGAAACAGCCAAAGGGCAACATGTTTTATTTTGTTTTTTAATGGAATCAGAATCAGAAGTATTAGCACCAATATAGGCTCTGTGCCAGGCACAGTGGTGGCACCCACCTGTCATCCCAGCTACTCAGAAGGCAGGAGGATCACTTGGGCCCAGGAGTTCTGGGCTTTAGTGCACTATGCCGATCAGGTGTCTGCGCTAAGTTTGGCATTAATATGGTGGCCTCTCTGGAGAGGGGGACCACCGGGTTGCCTAAGGGAGGGTGAGCAGGCCCAGGTAGGAAATGGAGCAAGTCAGAGCTCCTGTGCTGGACAATAGTGGGATCAGCCACTGTACTCAGACCTGGGGAACAACATAGTGAGACCTCGTCTCTAAAAAAAAAAAAAAAAAAAAAAAAAAGACAAAAGACAAACGAAAAAGCTCCGTGTGTGTTTATTGGGACAGAAGTGAAGGGAAGCAATGGTTAGAGATTATCCAGTCTGACCCGCCCATTCCACAGATGAGACAGTCGAGGCCCAAGGAATGGGAGGGGCATCTCCAGGTTCTCCAGCATCACAAGCTACTCCCCAGCTCTGCACCAGCTTCCCACATCAGTGACCCCTCTCTCCCTGCCAGCGCCTCCCATGTCAAAACAGCTCAGAGGACGGAAAGCTGGAGATGCTGGACGTGCAGAGACCCACCACCTGCCCGCTGTACAGAGCGAGACACTCCTTAGCTTACACAGCGAGTCGCCGTCAGAACCAGGGCCAGAGGGTCGCCCTGTGAACTGAGACCAACCCTCTCCCCTGCCCTGCCTCCCTCTCGCCCTTGAGTTCTCAGATGTAGGAAGGCAGCTCTACCCTGCTGGCCCCAGAGCGGTCACCGTCCATGGCCAGGAGCCAGCTACGTCCTGTGTGCCCTCCTCACTCTCCGTCCTTCCCTGCAGACGGGAAGAACGCTGGCATCAAACACAGTAGGAGAAGCAGTGATGGCCGTCCTTGTACCGAAGGAGCCATTCTTAAACCACGCTGCTAAAGCCACTTTAAAGGCTTTCAGAGCTCTGGGGCAGGGAGAAGGGCCATCGCCCTTCCTTAACAAAGTCACCTTTCACAACCTCCAGATTCTCCAGGCAGGCGTTTTTGGCTGGCTCTTTGGGAAGATCTTATGTGTGGACCACCATCGCCCTCTTGTGGCCTGTAGGCGAAGTGCTTTACGGTCTTGCTCAGAGAACAAAGGCCGTCAGTCTCCCTCCCTTCTCCTGTCTCTGGCACAGGAAGGGGTGGCTGCGTCAGTTTTTCATTCTGGGGGCCTTGGCCTTGGCTGTTGGAGCTTGATAGACTAATGAGATGTACATCAGCTCAGGAAACAGCTGCTGAGTGCCTGACGGAGGGGTTGAGTCAGAAGGAATGAAGTGAAAAATTGATTTATGTCAGAGGCTTTGGCAGGCATTTGTCTGAAAAATCACTAGCCGCCAGCGCTGCTCCAGTGCTCATGAGGCCGCGCATGAGTGTTCACACCCCCTCAACACCCACCCCACCCACCCCGCACCTCCGCTTTCACTGAAACCTTACTTCAAGGCCCAACTCTCACGCCTCCTCCTCCAGGAAGCCCAGCTTGCTCTCTGCAGCTCCTGAGACTCCAAGAAGAGCTTGCGGCCCACCCCTCTGCTTCCTCCTCTGCTCTGGTTCAGCCTCTGCCACGGTCGGAGCCAGCCGGGACTGTGGCCAATGTCTGCTCAACCTTTGAATCTCTGAGGACAGAGGCTGCATCTTGTGCTCCTAGAGTCAGGCCAGGCCCAGCCCTGAGTGGCTGAGTCTGTTGAATGAGAGAGGTCACTTCAGCCCAGTCATCGCCTCCGAAACCCACACCAAGCCCAACAAGAGATTCAGGCCCCTCTGGAGAAGGTGGGCTTTGTGGGTGCCCTGGCTGGCAGGGCTTTGTGACAGGTTTGAGGATGGGGCCATAGCAAGGGATGAACTGAACACTGACCCCCCCCCCAGTGCTTGTTCCTTCACTTACTTTTCCAACCTCCACTTCCCCAAGGAGTCCCAGGCAATGCCTGTTCAGCTGGTCTCTCCTGGGGCAAGCCTCTGAGGAGGAAAGAGTCCGCTGGACCTGGGGTTGGCTCTGGGGCAGTTATCTTGGTCCCTCCATTTCCTCATCTACCCAATAGCAGCAAAGAATATTGATTGGCATGGTTTGGGAACATGAACAGAGATGACTGCTGAAAACCCATGAGCACCACGGTGAGTCTTTCTGATCATTTCTGGGTTCTGAGCACTGGGTAGGCTGTTCCCACCACATAATCCACTCAACCACTGCTGCAACGGGATGGAAGAGTGGTCCAGAGCCTGGGCCCTGAAGCCAGACTGCTTGAGCCTGAATTCTTGCTCTGACACTTATCAGCTCTGGCACTATCTGCATAGTACCTTAAAAAAGGGAGATAACCATAGCACTCACCTCATAGAAGTATTGTGAGCAGGAAGTGAGTTAACACATCTAAAGGAATTAGAGCAGTGATTGGAGCGTGGGAAATGCTCAGGAAAGTAAGCCCTTGCTGCAGTATTGCATGGAAGCTGCTTGTCTTGAGGTCATCTCCTCCTGGAATGGTGTATCACAAAGACAGATCCGAGTTGCATTTTACATAAAAATCGATCTTTCTAATGCACACACTCGGCATTAGCTTCTTCATTCTGAGGTCAACATGCCACTGGTGTGAGGAAAAACCTAGTGTTTTAAAGACATTTGTTGATCTAATGTCTAATGAATTAATTAATTACTAGGTTGTATTTTTCCTACACAGATTTGCACTACGTGCATGGATGAGGAAGCATGAGGATGCAGTAACCTACAACTGAAATATTGGGCCTGATCTCCAACCCAGGACTATGCCAAGCAGAGGCTAGTGGCAGATATGGGAGCCATATACCCACCGAGAACCCTGAAGACCTTCATGCCAAGCCAGGACCATTTAATGTTTTCATTAATGGCTTGAAGGATGGAATCGAGACCCAGCTAATCAGATTTCTGGATGATAGGAAGCTGGAAGGGATCTTAGCTACTTTGGAGGACAAGATTAAAATGCAATCCAAGCTTGACGAATTGCAGAGATGGACCTAAATCAATAAAAAGAGCAACAATAAAGATAAATGCAAGCTGCTTGGAACAGAGCTGAGAAAATTATCCGGGTACCACATGGTGATGAGAGAAATGAGTTTTAGGGAGCCAGGAGGAGGTACCTGGATGTAAATTGATCAAGTCATGGTGTCTGTAAAGTGGAGGCACAACTCTGTCACCTGGTGGATCCCAAACTTCAATAAGCGTAAGACTATAGCTCAGAGAGCTTTGAAAATGCGGATTTCCAAGCCACAGGCCTGAGACTGTGATTCAGTAGTTGTGTAATGGAGCTAAGAAGATTCTAGTGTAGGTGGCCCATGGGCAGTGCTTTGAGAAAACCGGCAGGGTAAAGATGTAGCCTCTGACCACACCATTATTTCCTAAATGTTTACTATGTGGAATGTTTATCCCATGGGATTTTCTGTAAGAAGTGAGTCCATGGTCAAATATGGGAATGTTCTCTGTCCAAAATTTAAAAAAAAAAATCACAAGGCAAGTGAGCACACCAGTGACCCCAACATTTTCTGCAATCAAATAAACTGCACAACTTGGTTCAATCCAGAGTTTCCCAAACTTTTTGATTAGGGACTCATTTTTTCATGTAACATTCAAAAACATCTTGTGCAACACCGTTCAGAAAATTCTGAATTTTCTGAATTCAGCTGGAATTTGACAGCATTTAAAATGCTGCTCTGTCTCCTAACTACCCTGGATGTGAACTTTCCTTTAACATTTAGAAGAGAGGAAAGCAAGTTAACTACAGCTTGAGTCCTGGGCTTCTATCGCTTATTGATAGTGTCCCGTGTACCCCAGATGGGTGAGGAGGGCAGTACTTTTCCTCCTCTGTTTACTGTCTTCCTGGAGCTCGTGTCCAGAATCGCTAGTTGCCTTCTCCTTGTCTACTCTCTCCTTTCCTTTAGTAACAGAATCTCCATATTGTTGAATGTGGTAATGTGCCCCGCTACAAAACCACATTCTGCAGCCTCCCCTGCAGATGTGGTCAGTCAGTTGTACACAGAAGTCACTGGGGGGATTTCTGGGGAATTCCTTTAGAGATGCTGACGCATTTGAAAGGCACCCTTTTTGTTCTTCCCCAATTTCTTCTTCTTCCTGCCTGTAACACAGATAGGGTAGGGGTGCTGGCAGCCATGCTGGGCCATGAGGTGACCTTACAGATGGAAGCCACTCACTAAGGATGGCAGAACAGAAAGATAGAAGGAGCTCAAGATGTTGATGGCATTGTGAAGCCACCAGAGCAGTCCTGCCCTGCCTAAGATAAAAAATGTACCCCTATTTTGTTTAAGCCACTGTTTTTCAGGCCTCTGTTGCTAACAGTTGAGTGCAATTTTGAACTCACACAGGGTAGAGTCAGCAAAGCCTTTTTGTCATTTTTCCCAAATCTCAGCTCCTGTGGACTTCCAACCTGACCACATCCCTGGATGTTCTTGTGTATGTGAGTGTGTGTGTGTGTGTGTGTGTGTGTGCACATGTGCTTTCTTGCCCCACCCTCAGCATGAGGCACTGAGGCATGTGGCCAGCACAGTTCTGTGTAGCCTGTGTCTTCGGCTGCCTCTCTTTTATCTCCTTTACTGGAATTAAGCACAGAATGGAATTAACTCAGAATGACATATTCAAGAGTCTCACGTCCCTGTAGAATGAATCCCTTTTGGAATCTCCGTGCTTTATTTCTAAATGTTTTGTAATCTACACTCAACATAGAATTCCTGTCTGAAATCAGTGAGTGGCTCCTGAGAAGAGGCAGGTTGAATGGAAATACAATCTCAAGAATTCCCTTCATATCACCCACGACACTTGCCAAAAGGAAGGGAAAACCAGGCCATTGCAAAGAAAAATGAGAAACAAGCACAACTGAGGACGGGAGGAAAAACACGGTCCCCTCCAGTGAATGAGAGATCAGAGGGCAGAGGGGCCCCTGCTGCAGTCTGTGTCCTCACTCCCCTTTGGCGACTCGCCTCGCTCTCCTGGCTTCTGGTCCAGGAAGCCTCACCCTCCATCAGAGGCCACGGCCCCTGGCCTGGTGCAGACCACATTCTGCCATGTAGGTGCCTGCCAATGGAGATCCATTAGAGTTTCCTTCTGTGAAGGCCCTGGTGGCCTCTGTCCTCAGAAACAGCACCTGTCTAGAACGGTCTCTAGACTTTTCTTCTCTGCTTGGACTCGAAAGTCCATTTCCAAGGAGCTTTTTCCTGAGTTCAGACCTACTAAAGTGGTTGCATTTTCTAAGAGATTCAAATGGGACATTTTCCTGGAGGAAGGAACTAGAATTCACTGAAAACCCATCAATTGCTTCTGTACATACTCCTCAACCACTGGCCAAGTCATAGCAAACTAAGAAGAAATTAGTGCTAATCCTCACTTCTGGGAGATACCAACACTGGGCCTAGATAGATCTGTTTGCTCAAGAATGTGATGATAGATAACAAAACCAACATATGAAACCTCAACTTGGGGCCTTGTGAAAATTGTGTAACAGAGAGAATAGGAACCAGGTATAGTAAGGTCCAAAGGAAACCTTTCCTTAAAAACACAATCACTTCCTGAAATAGAAGGAAAATTTGGGAATGGATAGGGGCATATTCTTAATGAGACATCAAAATATGGAAGTTCTATTAAATAAGAACTGAGCGAGGTAAGGAGAGAAAGTAAAGGAAAATAGTTTCAAGATAAAATGCACTGAAACCGGTAAGCAACAAATTTCTTACTTCAGATAATAAACTGATAAAATGTTTATTATAATAAACTTACAAGATATATTATAATAAACTTACAAGATGTTTCCAGAAATGCGATTAAGAAATAGAAAAGATGAAAGCGGTAACAGGCATGGCTATCAATCGTGGATCTCCAACCTATGAATAAAAGGTGCTACAGATAAAAACCGGGCTAGGTTAGCAGCAATACCAGAAGTATCATGGGAGAAAAAATTCCCAGATCTGAAAAAATACCCCAAATTCTGACTTTGTTACCATTGAATTCTGCTAAAAAGAAAAACCGAGCCTAAGATGATGGAAGACTAAGGAAGACTGGGAGGTACCGTGGGGAAGGAGCCGGCGAGGCTGAGCTCAGGGCCACGGACCTGGAATCAAGGTCTTCTCTGTCATTCGCCATCTGGGTGGCTCAGACAAGCCACTGCCCTTCTTCTGGGACTCAGTTTTCCTCCCTGTGAAATGGGAGGGTGTCCATCTTAGTTTAGGTTTCCCAAAGAGCAGAACTGAGGCAACGACTTGGGTGCAGAGAGTTAATCGAGAAGGCAATGTCAGGCGGCAAAGCAAGAAAGTGAGGAAAATGAGACGGAAAATTGGCCTCCAGAAGCCAAGGAAGGCAGCTGTGGGCTCAGACCCACTGGGGACCCTCTGAAATACTGAAACCAGCCTCAGAATCATCCCACAAGCTGGGGACTGCCTTTTGCAGCTTCAGGAGAACTCCAGGGCCAGAGAATGTGGGACAGGGTGGCAACAGGATCTACTGCCAACCCCCTGCAGGCCCAGCACTCTGATATGAATCAGAGGGATTCAGAGGGGAAGATGTGCTGTGACTGAGCGCTGCGGGGCTCCAGGGTGGATGCCAGGCAGGGTAGCAATAAGACAAATGCAATTGTTCTCACACCTGTGTGTCGAGGTGGGCTGTGTGCTCCTTGGGGGAGATGAACCATGTCTGAGTTATCACGGCAGCCCTGAAGCCCAGTACAGAGCCTGGCATATGTTAGATGCTCAGTCATTGCCACCCCCAACTGTCCCAGGGGCAGAGCTTAGACCCGTGACACAGGTTTCAGCTCAATAGAAGGAAGAACTTTCTAAGAAGTGGTGAAGGGCAGGACCGGCGCCTCAGAGTTTTGGTGCCCTTTCCCCAAGCTAGGCTCATTAGCATCTCACTCTCCTCTGGCCTGACTCCCACTCCATACTTGAATTCCCTCAATATCACATACTCTTTCATTTCCTGTTTATAAATCTGTAGCAATGTGGTGCTCGCCACCTCCTAAAGTAGCTTTTGCCTCCTTCTTGTTCTCAGAAACACCTTGTTGCAAAGGCCGGGTCCAGGTGCAAGCCTCAGCTCCATAAGTCATTTCACCACCCAGGGCCTCCGTTTCTTCTCCTGAAAAATGAGGGTGTTCCGACAGCAGAGTTGAGAGTTACATTTGGTAAAGAATCTAGCATAGCACTCATCACATCTACTTAGTCGATAACATTAGAAAAAATTAAATACTGGCCGGGCGCAGTGGCTCATGCCTGTAATCCCAGAAGGGTGGGAGGCTGAGACTGGCAGATCACTTGAGGTCAGGAGTTCAAGACCGGCCTGGCCAACATGGCAAAACCCTGTCTCTACTAAAAACACAAAAAATTAGCTGGGCATGGTGGCAGGCGCCTGTAATCCCAGCTACTTGGGAGGCTGAGACAGGAGAATTGCTTGAATCCAGGAGGCAAAGGTTGCAGTGAGCTGAGATCGTGCCACTGCACTCCAGCCTGGGTGACGAAGCAAGACGCCATCTCAAAAACAGTAAAAAAAAAATTTTTTTAATTTAAAAGAAATGTTAAAAAGAAAAAATTAAATATATAGGTAGATGTGCTTTTATTAGACAATACACGTTCCCTTTTTGCCTGGCAGTAGGCTTTAAGCTTGTCTCATGCTTCAGAGTCACCTTACCCTAGGCTTCTGATATAAATATTTCTCCCCTACCCCAGCTTCGCCTCCTTCCTCTATTTGGTTTCTAACCCCTGTGACATCTCCTTGTCTTCTTTGTAGGTGTGTTTATTAAACAGAATATCCACATACTTTGCAGAAGTATTTATGTTCACATCCAGCTGCCTATAAACTGAATCTGGCCCACTCACATGTTTTGTTTGGCCTGCAGAATGCTTAATAAAAATATGAACCAAAATTTTAAAATAGAAATACTTTACCCCCCAAAAAATCTGGATTTCCGACTTTTCTTGAAAAACTGGAAAACGTGGCAATTTTGGGCCACACTGTTGGCAACCATTGGCTGGAGCTGAGGCAGCTGTTCCTTAGAGAAGACATGGGCTCTTCACTTCACCCCAGTTCTCACCACTCCCTATCGTCTCCCTGACCCAACCCCCGCCTCACTAACTTGGCCTGCCTGGCCTCTGTAACTTTTCTCATTGTGACCCCCTGTTTACATAACACAAATCCGCATGAAGCATCTATTTTCTTCCAATAATGCAGGGGCAGGTATTTTCTATATCCCCAGTGCCTCCTTGTTGATTGAATGGATAAATGAACAAATGAATGGATGCTAAATAAATCTGAACAAATTAAATATTTAATTTTTTTTTGAGACAGGGTCTTGCTTTCCCATCCAGGCTGGAGTGCAGTGGTACAATCCTAGCTCACTGCAGCCTCAGTCTCCAGTATTCAAGCAATCCTCCCACCTCAGCTCCTGAGTAGCTAAGACTACAGGCACGTGCCACCAAGGCCGGCAAATGTTTCTACTTTTTTTGTAGAGGTGGGATCTTACTATGTTTTCCAGGCTGGTCTCAAACTCCTGGCCTCAAGGAATTCTCCCACTTCAACCTCCAAAAGTGCTGGGATTTTAGGAGTGAGCCACTGTGGCTCACCTGAACAAATTAAGTGTTTATAAACATGTACAAACTGCACTGCTGTCATAGGAATGAAGTTCAAGGTGAATCTCACAAGGTTCCCCTCGAGGATAAGCAGAACTCTTACTCCCTGATACTCAAAATAAAATACCCCACTCTTCTGAATAGCTCCCAGACACTATGTCCCCCTTGTAAACAGAACCGCTCCCTCCAAGCCCAGAGGTCAACTTCTTGAATATGTCATGCCATTTCTTCACTCTCCTCCCCGGGTTGCTTATCAGATGCTCTGTGCATCATCTCCTGCATCCCGTAGCCAAATAAACCAGTCAGTGCTCAATTCTCCAATTGACTGGATGGCTCAGGGAACAAACCCTCAAATCTGATTACAGGAAAATTCATTACTTTAAGTCCTCCCTCAGGGTTCAGAGCTCATAAAAGAAACCTCCAGAGGCCCAGGCCGAGGGGAAGAGAAGCTCCTATGCTGCACATCTACAGATTGCCAATAATTAACCTGAACTAATTATTGTTGAGCCCCAGGTCAGTCTTCCCAGATCAAGGCTCCCCTGACAACTGAGTTTTCAGAGCCAGAACTTTTCACTCAGACACAAAAGGAACATTCAGCAGATTTTAATAAAAAAGAGCATGACTCACATAGGATCCTCTGCTAGACAGAGACCCAGCCGGTTGGAGGCTCACTGGCAGGGACACGATTCAGGGCCCCCAGAGAGACACCTGTGTGAGGACTCTCTTCCTGGCCCTGTTTACAACCCTCTTAGGATTTTTGAACAAATAAGACCACACATCTCAACACATAAAGACAAACAGCAAGTTAGGAAAAATATGTACATTCTGTTCATAATATTAAAAGCTGACATGAAAAAATAAGACAAAAATGAATATTCCAAAGGAAAAAATAGTAAATTATAAGGAAAAATAATTCACCGTGGAAACAATAGCTAATCTGTATAATCAACATAGTTTCATTTCATGTTCAGTCTCACTCTAGTAATTTTTAAAAGTCAGTGAGATAGTATTTTGTTTTCTGGCCGGGCACAGTGCCTCATGCCTGTAATCCCAGCACTTTGGGAGGCCAAGGTGGGCAGATCACCTGAGCTCAGGAGTTCAAGACCAGCCTGGCCAACGTGGTGAAACTCCAGCTCTACTACAAATACAAAAATTAGCTGGGCATGGTGGCACACGCCTGTAGTCCCAGCTACTCAGGAGGCTGAGGCAGGAGAGTCACTTGAACCTGGAAGGGGGAGGTTGCAGTGAGCCAAGATCATGCCACTGCACTCTAGCCTGGGCAACAGAGCAAGACTCTGTCTCAAAAAGCAAAACAAAAACAAACAAAAAACCCATTTTGTTTTCTGAGATTGGTAAAATGTTTTGAGCTGGGCTTTTTTTAGTGCTAACGTTCATATTCATAAGGGTAGTGAAATTGAGCGCTATTATACACTGTTGTTTGGAGTATAAAGTCATAAATCAGTGCAATTCTGAGAAGGTAATTTGGCAATAGATAACAAAAACCTTAAAATATGCATATTCTTTAAACTTTTATCTTAAGAACTTTATCCTTAGGGCAGTGGTTCTCAAGCAGGGGCAACTGTGCTGCCCAAGGGACATTTGGCAATGTAGAGACATTGATTGTCAGCAAGTTGGGGAAGGGGTGCTGCTGGCATCTAGTGATGCAGGCCAGGGAGGCTGTTACCCATCTCATGGTACACAGGACATCCCCCCAGAATAAGAATTATTGTCACTCTTGAGAAACCCTGCTTTAGGAGAAAACACTCAGGCAAGTTGACAGGGGTATACAGCCAAAGATATTCAGTGAAGAATTGTTTAGAAAGCTAAAAAATGAGAAGCAGTGTGCATCACTAAGTTACCAATTAAATAAATCATATGCCATGCATACACTAGACCATCATAGATCCATTAAAAATTGAATACACTCCAGCCTGGAAGACAGAGCGAGACTCTGCCTCAAAAAAAAATTAAATAAATCTGTTTATTGATGGGAATATATTCATTCTATAGTGCTAATTGAGAATAACTAGTTTCAGAATCATATGCCTAGTAGGATCATCTTTTTGTATGTGCATATGTATGTATAGAGAAAAATCTGAAGGTGTTTATCTACCATGTTACACCTTTAACAGTAGTTTTCACTAGGTGGAAACGTTATGGGTCATTTTAAATTTTTTTTTTTTTTTTTTTTAAGATGGAGTCTCACTCTTGTTGCTCAGGCTGGAGTGAAACGGCATGATCTCGGCTCACTGCAACCTCTGCCTCCCGGGTTCAAGTGATTCTCCTGCCTCAGCCTCCCAAGTAGCTGGGATTACAGGCATGCACCATCACACCCTGCTAATTTTTTTTGTATTTTTAGTAGAGATGGGGTTTCACCATGTTGGCCAGGCTGGTCTCGAACTCCTGACCTCATGTGATCCACCTGCCTCAGCCTCCCAAAGTGCTGGGATTACAGGCGGGAGCCATCACGCTCAGCCCATTTTAATTTTTTGTGTTAGTTTTTCAGTGTTTTCTATTTTTCTTTTATTAGCACGGCTAATGAAGGCCTTCTAACGCAGAGTTGAAGATCAAGGACATTAGAATCAGACACCAAGCATTCTGGCTGGGTCCTGTCTCAGCTCTGAGAAAAGCTGCATCCTTGCATGGCAGCCATCATCTGAAACTGTCCTTCACCCAGAGGCACCCCAATTCCCATAAAGTCACCCCATGGCAAGATGTCAGCATGTCCATTTTTTTTTTCTGGAAATCATCCAAAAGCAACAATTTCTATTGAAATGTAGAGACAACCTAAACTCCAGGATGAAAACTATTTGGAAGGGCTGCCCAAAGCAGTGGAGATAAAACAGGAGATAGAACAAGGGGAGCACGTTGAGGCCGTGAGGGGCTGCAGGCCTCCAAGAGAGCCAGCAAACATAATTTTCTACACTGAGGGGTATTCCCCCAATGTGCAAAATGACTCACTTGTTCAGAACAGTGAGTTCATAGTAAGGGTTATTGCCTAGCATAAAAAGATTTTTCTGGACATGGTTTTGTTCTAAAAAGCAAAGGAAAAGGGGCTATAAATGAGAGCTCACCCAAACTAGCTATATTTGCAGGCAGTACTTTGGGGAAGCAGCAGAGGAGAAGAGTGAATTTGCATGGCTAACACAAACAGCACTCCCCAAGAAAGCAATGAACAAAACCCAGCTTATTTCCACTGGCTTGGGAGCAGTAAAGGCTAAACAAACTCACATACAATACCTTGCATCAGTTCATAATCAAACAAAGAAACCATTGTGCTGGGGACATAGTGCTGAGGCAACTGATTGTACTTCCTAGCCTCGTAGACCTCACAATCTGGCTGGAGGAGCCAGATGATAGCCAAATAATTCCACGAACCACGAGCTGCAAATGCAATATGGTGGGTAAGAGCTTGGGCTTTGAAGTGAGGTAAACCCAGGCTCTAACCCCTCACTCCTCCACCTAACCTCTCAGAGACACTTTGCTCATCTGCAAAATGGGAAAGTATAATATAATAGCACCTGCCTTCGTGGGTTGTTGTGGGGTTTACAAGAGATAACATATGGAACACACTTAGCGCGGCGCCCAGCACATAGTGGGTGCTCAGTAGGTGTCGGCTTTGTTATTATTAATATCACTGACATGATCAGTAGCAGCAGCAGCAGCAGTAGTTGTAACAGTATGATGAAGAAAAAGCACAAGTTGTTGTAAGAACTTATAATGTTCTTACAAGGGCCTGGAGAAGGGCATGTTTAGATGGTGGTCATGGAAGCTTCTCTGGGGAAGAGCTAGAGGAAACAAAAAGAACATAAGTCTCCAGAATTTGCCATAAGTCACCCTGCATGGAATCTGTGCAGCCCCCTTCATGGAGACACAATTAAATCTACCCACATTAAAGGAAAATTCCTGCCACCCACCCAACACCCTTCTTTCACAAATACTCCCATTCCAAAGATGTTTGGTTACAACTGTATATAATTTCAAATGTTTTGCATATTACAAAATGAATACAAATGTTTTCACAACATGGAAAAGAACCCGGTCTGATTTCCACTGATGTCTCTGCAAGTGGCTACTTTGATTTTCTGCAAGTCACTTTTGAGGACTGCGCTCTCTCTTTTTAAAGTACAGAGCTTGGGTTAAATGATTTTAAAAGTCCCTTCAAATACAAAAATCTTGGGGATGATCCGGATTCCTCCAGTGCGTGGCAGGGGTATTCCAGCTGAGCTTAACTAGCTCTCAGGGGCCAGGAGACCCCTGCTGCCATTGGAGCCCTACCATAAAGCGGAGGTTCCCCTCCCCCTACTCCGTTTGGCCTCTCCTGTCAGCAGGTGCAGCAGACTGGCAGGAGCTAATGAAATGTTTACTGAAAAGATTAGCTTGTCAGTGGAGCCTGGACAGATGGCTATTGATCCTCTGCTCATCTGTCACCCCTGTTCCATTTCAGACAAGGTGCAGGAGCAGGCTCTCTCTGATCCAGAGCTCAGGCAGGGGCTCAAGCCCCAGGTACACATCCCCGGTGGCACACAGGAAAAGAGGTTTGCAGTGTGAGAAGGTCTCTTAGATCTGTGGCCTGGTCCAAACAGTCCCTGGGTCACTGGAAGCCCCCACCTCTTCTCTGTTCAATTGTTCAGCTGAGGGATCCTGGCAAGAACATAGGAAATGTCAGACCTGAGTTCAGATCCTACCTTAATTACTTTGTGAGCTTGTGCCCTCTGAGACTCCATTTTTCTTACCTATAAAACAAGGACAATAACACCTGCCTCATAGAAGTATGACAAGACTATAATTAGGAAATTAGGATATCATGGTTCTAAGAACCAACACCATTGAGGGAATGTTTGTTTTATTCGTTAAAATGAAAAAGCTGAGGCCAAGATTAGAACCCTTGCAGAGTGCAGGAATTTTCCCAATGTGTCATGCTCGAGTGGTCTTGAGGAATCTGGCTTCTATGATGTTCTAAGTAGCTTGACCTTATCTTGAGGTCAACGCCATGCCACTGAAGGGCATGATGTGATGAAATATGAGTTTAGCAAGGTAGCTCTGCCTGTAGGGAGGTAAGACTGGAATGTGTCACAGCTACGGTAGTGGCAATGGGAATCCAGAGGCTTGTTGGAGACATAAGAAGGTACGAGACTTGAAGAGTGATTGATTGATTGATTGAACATGAGAGGTGGCAGCAGGGATGACTCCCCTGTGCATGGCGGCACTTCCAACGACACAGAAGCCCGGAAGTAGAAGCAGTACAGGGGAAGCTAATGAGCTCATTTTGAGCATGGCAAGCGTGAGATGCCTGCAGGACTCCCAAGTAGGAGGACTCCCAGGTGGTTGATGGAGTCTGAGGCTCAGGAGTTAAATCTGGCCCAGTATAGAGATTTGGGAGTTGTCACTGTCATCATCTTCCTCCTCTTCCCCTTCTTCCTCATCTAGTTGGTAATGGGGCCACAGAGTGGATGAGGCCACCCACGGAGAATATGTGACCAGAAGAGAAGGGGCCAGCACAGAAAATCCTGTGGGGACTGGCAGAAAGAAACGCCTGGGAAACAAAGAGTGCTATCATGGAAGTCAGGAGTTTCAGAGGGGAGGGAGGGAGTGAGTGGGCAACAGCAGAAAATCCTACAAAAAGGTCATATAAAAAAACAAAAACAGAAACCTACACAGTGTCTCCTGGACTTAGTAACAAGGAGGTTGTTTTAAACTTGAGAAAGGCAGTTTCTGTGGGGCAGTTGAGGGCCAAAGGTCAACTATGGAGAATTGAGAGTGGGTGGGAGGTGGGAAAACGCAACCTGTGCAATGTCCCTTTGGAGAAGCTCGACACCAGCTGGAGGACCATGGGGGACGGCAGGGCTGATTTAGGAGGGGCGTCCCCTGAGAGTATGCCCTGTGCTGTGGGGAGGATGCAGGGGAAGTGAGCGAGTGGAGACCTGCAGAGAGACGATGAGCCCGAAGGAGCCTGGAGAGGCGCGAGACCAGAGTCCAGATCCAGATTGGGGGTTGAGGCCAACTCTGCAACCAACTACCACCAACAAGGCAGGCCCTATAGACAGGGCAGGCTGAGCCCCAGGGGGAGGAAGGGAAGCTAAGCAGGCCCCTCCTGGAGGGCTTGAGTTTCTCAGGGAGGGAGGTGAGGTTGTCTGATGAGGACATTAAGGCAAGTCAGGAGGCTGTGAACAGTTGCCCTGGGGAAAGAAGGGTACTGGCCAGGGGTCCCCAGGGCTACCAAATGAGGAGGAGACCATGAGTATGCACAGGAAAGGAAGGCTGGGCTCGAGGGATGCCCAGGGTCAAGTGGGCAGGACCCTCCATTTGCTGGGCTGGGGGTACAGTTGCCACTCAACCCAACTGCACAAGTGGGGAGGGACAATGGACGAAGGCCTTCGGGGCTGCCTGGAGACACCGCAGCTGCTCTCCATTTGTGAGAGGGAGCCCCCTCCTCTCCATCCCTCCCTCTCTCCTCTTAGAAGCATCCCCCTTTCTACCCGCACCCCCAGCCCCACCCCTGCTCCCCGGCTTCATGCAAGTCCACATCCTGAGTGCCTGGCATCAGGCACTGAGACCAGAGAGGACAGAAAGCATGTCACACCCACACACATCGGGCAGGGTGGATAGGAGCCCCCAGCCAGGAGGCCTCCAGCTAGTGTCTGACCCTGGGACCCTGAGGCCTTTCTCAGCCTGTTTCCCCATCTACACAGTAAGAAGGCTGTCCCCAGGAATCCCTAAGTCCCCTGGCCAGTGCAGACATTCTAGAGAGTGAAGATTTCTTTATGAGTGTGTTTTTCATCTGAGCTGCTGGCAAGGGAGGGCAGGGAGATGCGGTGCAGGGCTGAGCTCAGAAACACAGACACAGAGTTAACTGCCGAACTGTCTAAACAAGATCTGAATGGAAACGCTGCCCTGTTAATTAATGGCTGCTTTTGAGGTTATTAAGTTAGACTGGGTAGGTGTGTGGCCTTTCTTTCTACTGCCCTTCCAATTAACAGGCACTTTGCTTGGTAAATGTTAATTTAGAGTAATTGGGCGTGCAGAGGAGGGGAGTGCAGGCGGGGGAAACAATGGTCCCTCTACTGTAGGTTAATTGCTAGTAAACGTTGTTCCCCGCAGCCCTGGTCCCAGATGAGGATGATTAATGGCCATGGAGTACTGGCTGAAACCCTCAGGGGTCAGCAGAGCTGCGGCAGGTTTAACCCCTCAGTGACCATGATGAGGGCCAAATCCCAGTGACTCCTACTGGGTTTATGAGCAAGAGAACTTGAGGTGTGCTCCTCACCTGTGAAAGAGGCTAATGGGGTCGCTTCTTGCAGGTAAGTTAGGAAAGTCAAGCATCAAGTTGGCAAAAAAAAATGCTTCATTCCACTGATAGATGGAATAACTCGTTGCAGCCGTGATTACCCTGGGTAGTATCATCTAAGGAAATAACATTGATTTCCAGAAAATAACAAAACAACAACAACTACAACAAAACTCCAACGCCCCCCACTTAGCCTCTGCTCTCACACAATCTGTTTCAGCCAAGTCAACCTGTGACAGTTTGATGTGTGAACTTGTGAACAGTCCCATATTCAAGCAAATGCTACTCTAGGAATTGCTATGAAAGTATATTGTAGATGGGGTTGAAATCAGTGGACTTTGGATAAAAAAGATTGTCTTGGATAACCAGGGTGGGCCTGATTCAATCAGTCGAGCAGGGCTGAGGCTTTCCTGAAGAAGAAATTCTGCCTGTAGACTGAGGCCATAGATCCTGTCCCAGGGCCCCAGCCTTCCTTTCCTGACGGCCTGCCCCTCAGATTCCGTAATGATGTAAGCCAATTCCTTGCAATAAAACTCTTAATCTATATCCCCATCAGGTTCTTTTGGAACTCTGATTGATACACAGCCCAAAAGTGACTCGGGCTGGAGACAATGCTCTGAGCCAGGCTTCTTTTCCCTGCCTGCCTCTCTCAGAAATGCAAATGAGAGGTGGCTCATCTCCCAGCTCTCAGAGCCACCTGGTAAGAAAGTTCCTGCACTCACCTGGGTCCCAGAGCCTCCCAAGCCCAGCTGTCTTCTGGGCTAAGAATTCTACAATCACCAGGATAGTTTCTCCCCTGAAAACTTCCTCTCAGGAAAAGGCCATGGATACATTTTTCTTTGGAAGAAAAATAAATTATTGTAACATGCATGGGATTGTACCTATACATGCTTTATTGTGAAAAAGCAAATGGATCAGTATTTTAAATTTATTAATTTTAAAATCTCTAGGTTATAATGGGGAATAATAAAAGAACATTGGATACTCTGTGTAAGAAGGGAGGGAGGAATACAAATATCTGTTCACATTTACATAAGAATCACTGGAAGGACAAACAAACTAACAAAGACAGTTGTCAATGGAGGTGATGGGGTGGAGTGAATTGGACAAGGGTGAGAGGAAGAATTCTCAGGGAAAGATACTCTGATTTTTTTTCTTCCAATATGATCTCAAGATGATTTTTTAATTAAGTGATTATTCAAAAAATAAAATTAAAAACATATTCATTTCACAAGAAGCGCCTAAGCACCTCTATGACGGACTCTAAGAACCGAGAAATGAATCAGAAACAGCCTGTGTGTGTGTGTGTGTGTGTTTGTGTGTATGAGAGAGAGAAGGAAAAACAGACAGACAGACATTGCCACCTTGGACAGGGAGGCTATCTAGAGTGGACGGTATGAGTTTTGAGCTAGGCAGGATTCAGACAAGCAGAGGAGTAAGGACATTTGGTGATATTATGATGGCCAAGGCCGCACAAGAGATGGTCATCTGTAGCATCTCCCAGCTCTAAGACTCACCCCATTCCCCCTCCCACACATACACCTTTTCCTTCCCCTGCCAACCTGAGTGGATTTCAGACTTCTCCCTCCCTTTTAGAAAGAGTAGAATTTGGTGGAGATACTGTCCAATCTACTGTGCTTTTCTCTTACAACATCAGTTCAGGGCATTGGACCCAGGATGGGAACGTGGCTGTTGGGGAGAAGATGAGCAGAGAGGAAAGAGGCCATTACAGAGACCGTCAGCAATCAGCTTCATTCTTTAGGAGACATCCACATCCAGGGCTTCCAGAGGCCATGGCAGGGCTGGGTCAAGCCCTCCTGGGGGAGGAGGGGGATCCCCTGGACATCCGCCTGGAGTACCAACCCCTGTCACTCAGAGACCCCAGAAAGATGAAAAACGGGGTGGAAAATGCATTGGAATTGTTTACAGGGAGGCTATTCTGTGGCTAGAACATTTCAATAAACCTCTTTTTTAGGGGGGAAGGGGTAAGAAGGCGCTGAGGGTTGTGCTTGAGTAATAAACTGCCTCAGAGGAAAGCGGGTTCAGTAGCTGCAGGGTTTGTGGTTTGCTAGGAGGTGGTGTATATTTGGAGAGAGAGCTCACCTTGTCAGCAAGAAAAGGAGAAGCTGAGCTGAGGGCCATTACCAGCAATCCTCCTCCAAACCAAGCTTGGCCTCTTTAAAGTGTAGCTGTTTGGTACAGCATCATTTATGTGAAAATGGAGAGGGGGCTACATGCATGGTTGGATATATGTGTTTATGTACATATGAATGCATTCATGCATGCATGCCTGTATGCATTTGTTAGTTTATGCATGAAATATCCCTGGAAGAATCCAGCAATATGGTTACATTGGTTGCCTCCAGGAAGGTGAGCTGAATAGCCCAGAGATTATATCAATTAGCAGACAGACTAGGCTGTCTGTCATAAGAAGTGACCCCAAAATGCAAGGCTTAAACAAGATAGCATTTCAATTCTGTCTCACAAAGCAGGGCAGGTATAATGGTGACGAAGTGTCAGGGACCCAGGATCATTCCATTGTGTGGCTCTGCCATCACTACAGTGTTGCCTTCCTCTGCAGGGAGGAGGATGGCTCACCATCACCTCTGCAATCCAGCCAATAAGAAAGGGGGAGTAAAGAAAGTGAAAGGCACATCCACGCCCTCTAGGAGAGCCACTGAACGTTAAGCACATGGCCTCCACTCACCTCCCACTGGCCAGAACTCAGTGACTTGGACACAACTAGGAAACGCCCTCCTTAGCTGAGCATTCATGAGTATAGCTAAAATTGGAGATTTTGTTTCTAAAGAAAGAAGGGCAGAATAAATATAAGAGGACAACCTGTAGTCTTTATCTGGGATAGGATGAAAGGGACATTTTCACTTTATATATCCTTTTAGTACCTTTAAAAATTTTTTCCTGTACCCTCTTGATAGACCTTTCAGTATCTTCTGAACCATGTGAATTAGGAAAAAAAATTAAGTTTGAAAAATATATTAGTTTGGAAGTCACAAATTGAGCACATGCATCCACCTCTCCACTACACCATGGATCCATGGGGATAAAATATATTTTTTAAAGAGTGAAATCAGATCAGTGCTGGAAAGCAAGACAGGGTGCCAGCAGATGAGAAAGTCTGAGAAAATACTGGAAGCTAGAAAGTAGATGGGATTGGCTGGGTGCGGTGGCTCACACTTGTAATCCCAGCACTTTGGGAAGCCAAGATGGGCGGATCACCTGAGGTCAGGAGTTCAAGACCAGCCTGGCCAACATGGTGAAACCCCATCTCTGCGAAAAATACAAAATTAGGTGTGGTGGCGCATGCCTATAATCCCAGCTACTTGGGAGGCTGAGGCATGAGAATTGCTTGAACCCAGGAGGCGGAGGTTGCAGTGAGCCCAGATGGTGCCACTGCACTCTAGCCTGGGCAACACAGCAAGACTCTGTCTCAAAAAAAAAAAAAAAAAAGAAAAGAAAAGAAAAGAAAAAGTAGATGGGATCAGATCAACTGAGAAAGTACAAAGGTAAACCACAGCCCCAAACACCAGTACCAAGAACTTTCCTTCTCAAGGGAGCCCTAGAGAAACCCCAAACTCAGAAACAAGAGACAGAAAGCAAGAGTAGACCATAGGATAACCATCAGAGTAACTGAGCAAAGAGCTGCATTCACAGTGGCTGGGACATTCGGGGCCCCTCCCTTCTCCCTTCCCCTGCTCAACATATGCTCAACCCGTAAAGGAACAACTAGTGGTAATTTTGCCCTTTGGGTACCTAGGACCCAATCATTATTCTTAAAAAATGTGGGTGATCTATCCAGGAAGGGATCCTAATATAGGTGTCTAAAGTCAAGAGAGAAGCAGAACAAGAACAGGGTTGGAAGTCTATGTAGGCCTCCCCAACAAATATATATGGCAAGTTTGGGTTGAGAGGGTGTATTACTCCATTCTCACGCTGCTAATAAAGACATACCCGAGACTGGGTAACTTATAAAGAAAAGAGATTTAAATGACTCACAGTTTAGCATGGCTGGGGAGGCCTCAGAAAACTTACAATCATGGCGGAAGGGGAAGAAAATACGTCCTTCCTCACCTGGTGGCAAGAGAGAAAATGAGTGCTAAGTGAAGGGGGAAGCCCCTGTAACTATCAGGTCTCATGAGAACTCACTCACTATCACGAGAACAGCACCGAGGGAAACCGCCCCCATGATTCAATTACCTCCAACCAGGTACCTCCCAGGACACGAGGGGATTATGGGATTACAATTCAAGATGAGATCTGGGTGGAGACATAAAGCCAAACCATATCAGAAGGCATGGAGGGGTGGTAGAAAGTCCTCTGTCCAAAAGGAAATTATAGCTAAATACTCCAGTCCGTTATTTAAATACCTCCTTACCTTGGCAGGCGTGGGCATCCCAGGCTGCCTGCTGCAATCTAGAGGTGAGCCTGCTGACAATATGGCCCAGCCACTCAAGGGGACCTGAACTGGCCCTCCCCTTCCAGGGAGACGCCTCTTGTGAAAGCAGGCCACACCAGCTATCCATACAGATTAATCTAATCCTTCATTTAGGAAAGTCGACGGAGAGCCATGGAGCCCCAAATATTTGAGGAAAACCAATAGCACAACCAAGTTGAACAAACATGAGTAAACACAACGTCATCCTGGAAAAAAAAAACAAGATGAAGTAGGTAATGTTAAAGATAAAACCCTAATTAGTATCTCTGGAGAGATGTGAGAGAATGAAATCTCCAAAACAAGAGCCAGCTGCCGTAAAAAAGGAGCCATCGGAGAACAAGAAATAATTTCTAGAAATGTAAAATAAGGGTCAAAATTTTAAAAATTCAGCAAACAGGAATAATAGAATGGCCAAGACCAAAAGCCAGAGCAGTTGTGTGGAAGTCAATGAAATCTCCAGAAATACAGAAAAAAGTCAGCATAGTAAAAACTAAAAGTCTAGAAACAGGAAAGCTCCAGGAGGCTAGCATCCATCAATTCAGTAGGAGTTTCAGAAGGTAAGAAAAAAAATCAGAGAGGTGGTGGGGGATAAAGTCAAAGACATAATAGAAAGTTTCCCTGAGCTGGGAAAAAATACAAGTCCTCAGATTGAAAGAGGCCACTAAGTACCAAGCAGGATAAATGAAAACAAAACCCATACCTAGATATTTTTAGAAATTTCAGAACCCCAAGAAGAATGAGAAAGGCTTAAAAGCTTGAATATTAGAAATGAGAATTTAATTAATTTCAGACTTCCCATCAGAAATGCTTTAAAAATCATGCCTTTAAAACTCCAGTGGAGGCTGGGTATGGTGGCTCAAGTCTATAATCCCAGCACTTTGGGAGGCCAAGGCAGGCAGGTCACTTAATGTCAGGAGCTCGAGACCAGCCTGAGCAACATGGTGAAACCCCATCTCTACTGAAAATACAAAAATTAGCCAGGTGTGGTACCACGTGCTTGTAATCCCAGCTACCCAGGAGGCTGAGGCAGAAGAATCACTTGAACCTGGGAAGTGAAGGTTGCAGTTAGCTGAGACTGCACCACTGCACTGCAGCCTGGGTGACAGAGTGAGACTGTCTCAGAAAAGAAAAAAGAAAAAAAACTCCAATGGAATATGAATTTGAGCTGAAATTATACTCCAGCAATGCAAGGAAAGTTTATCACGTGTGCACTCGAATGTAAAAATTACTCACGGAAGTACTTGTGCAAAACAAAGGGAATGAAAGAATGAGATTTCAAAAAAATGAGACTGAAGCAAATAAAAAACAATGATACCTGAATAAAAGTGAGGAAAGTAAAAACTACATTAAAAGACCAAGATTTGAATGTTGACAGCTGTGTGGCTGGTATTAAATACATGGAATATTCTTTCTTTCTCTATAGATTTTATCACACTTTTTTCTGCAGTGATTAATATTTGTATAACCACAATATGGTAAATGCTATTTTTATTTGGTTTAAGTATTCAAGCCTAGAAGACTTGGCTGTAGTTCCAGAACAGAATGTAAATGTTATGGGAGGCCGAGATGGGTGGATCATTTGAGGTCAGGAGTTCAAGACCAGCCTGGCCAACATGGTGAAACCCTGTCTCTACTAAAAATACAAAAATTAGCCCGGCGTGGTGGTGGGCTCCTGTAATCAGCTACTCGGGAGGCTGAGGCAGGAGAATTGCTTGAGCCTGGGAGGCGGAGGGTGCAGTGAGCCGAGATTGTGCCACTGCACTCCAGCCTGGCAACAGAGTGAGACCCTGTCTCAAAAAAGGAAAAGAAAAAAAAGAATGTAAAAGTTTTGTTATAAGCCATGAAAGTGGGAAGAATGGTGATCATATATATTGACGTGGAAGAACAAACACTATGTAAAGAAGCAAATGTAAGCTGCAGACTAACATGGTTAATATGACCTCATATATATATGTGCCATATATATGAGCATACAGATAAATAACAGTTATATATAAACATACAGATATATAACATTTACATATATAAACATGACAGATGTATAACATTTATATATAAACATACAGATATATAACATTTTTATATAGAGTCATATTATCCATATTGTTCTCTATTTATATATATAAATGTTATATATCTATATGTTTTATAACTATATGCATTTTTATGTGCATAGCAAAACACCTGGAAAACTTTCATTCACTTTTTACTTTCTACACTTCTGTAGCTTTTGAAACTTTACAACCATGAATAATTGTTATAATTAAAAATGTTAAATAATAGAATACTAGCTTGAAGATTTACCACATTTTTAGCTGGCGTAGGAGATATTGCTTTTGGTAAGGCCTCAAGAAAAACAGTCATTGATTTTGGTATGGCCTCAAGAAAAATAGTCTGATTGAGAACTACATTTAGTAGAACTCAATCTAAAACTAGGTAGAAACCTCAACTCTTTTCTAATATGAAAACAAAACAAACAAACCAAAACACTCCCGCAGACCAGAGACCAAAGAAAGATCAACACTGCCACCTATTGAGGATTTATTGGAGAACAGGCTAAGTTGAGTTTTTTTTAAATTGTGATTTTTAAACAGATTTTGAGATATTTTGAGATCTGCACAGACCTGAAATCTGGGTTATCTTCCACCAGGCACACGGATTCTTAGCCATAGAAGTAAGGAATCAGGAGCATACTGAGGGATGCTTGGGAAGGTATGAGTGACAGTTTAAGAAACAGACTCTGTTCAGCCTAGTAAAGAGCCTACCCAAAGGGACTTGGTCTCAGTTTCTTACTTGCTGTGCTACAGGACAAAGGCTGGGAGTGTGGGACCCTGGCAGACGAGTGGGGAGGAGATATGGGCCAACATATGTCACTCTGCTAGAAAGAATGTTTTAATTGTTACTTTCCAAAAATAAGATAATGTTCTGTGAAAACAGTGAAGGCACCCTGCTCACTGAATATATGTCAATAGAGAAGCACTGTGACCCTCCATCCTGGAAGTTACAGAAGAACATCAGCATTTCTGAGGAAGTTAGATTACAGTTAGATTATCTGCATGCACTCGTGTATTCAACCAAATACTTATTGATGCCCACTCTATGTTAAGTACTATGCAGGGCCCCTTCCACCCAGAGTCACAGATCCCATTCGACTGGCTTTTGGAATGACTCAAACATAGCCATGGCATGAGATAGTCCAGGAGGAATCAAGCTATATATTTGGTGAGCCATCCTAAACTCAGCCTGTATTTGGCAAGCACCGAATGTCTGTATCAAACTTAACCATGCTTAGGACACATTCTTTAAAAAGGTAGGCAGTGGCCGGGCGTGGTGGCTCACGCCTGTAATCCCAGCAGTTTAGGAGGCCGAGGCGGGCGGATCACAAGGTCAGGAGTTCGAGACCAGCCTGGCCAACATGGTGAAACCCCATCTCTACTAAAAATACAAAAATTAGCCGGGCGTGGTGGCAGGCGCCTGTAATCCCAGCTACTCAGGAGGCTGAGGCAGGAGAATCACTTTAACCTGGAAGGCAGAAGTTGCAGTGAGCCGAGATCTCACCACTGTACTCTGGCCTGGGTGAAAGAGTGAAACTCTGTCTCAAAAACAAACAAACAAATAAACAAACAAAAAACATAGGCAATGCGATCTGATGAACCAAACTCTTGTTCATTTTTAAAGGTTGACAATGAGACACCATCTCACACCAGTCAGAATGGCTCTTATTAAAAGTCAAAAAATAATAGATGGTGGGGAGGCTGCAGAGAAAAGGGAATCCTTGCACACTGCTGCTGGAAATATAAAGTTCCACCACTGTGGAAAGCAGTTTGGAGGTTTCTCAAAGAGCTTAAAACAGAACTACCATTCAACCCAGCAGTTCCATTACTCAGATACCCAAGGGAAAATACATTGTTCTATCAAAAAGATGCTCACATGTTTATTGCAGCACTATTCACAATAGCAAAGACATGGAATCAACCTAGGTGCCCATCCACGGTGGATTGGATAAAGAAAATGTGGTACATATACACCATGGAATACTATACGATCATAAAAAACCAAAATCATGTTCTTCGCAGCAACATGGATGCAGCTGGAGGCCATTAACCTAAGCGAACTAACACAGAAACAGAAAACCAAATATGGCATGTTCTCACTTTATAAGCTAAACACGGGGTACACATGGACACAAAAATGGGAACAACCGACACTGGGGACTGCTGCACGGGGCAGGTAGGAGGGAACAGGGGCTGAAAAACTATGCATTGGGTCTATGCTCACTACCTGAGTGACAGAATCAATCATACCCCAAACCTCAGCATCATGCAATATAACCATGTAAAAAAATCTGCACATGTACACCCTGAATCTAAAATAAAAGTTGAAATGTTTTTAAAAATCACATAAAAAGGAACTTGAGAGAATAAACAAATGAATAAAGGTTGAAAATATGAACATCCCAATATGATCAAAACAGATTTCATTCAATCATTGGTTAAAAAAAAAAGTAAGAACTATATGAGAATCACAAAATAATAGAGCTGGAAAGACTTCCAAAATGACCTGTATCACTCTGCTCATAAGCTGGGCTGGTCTAAATTGCTGTGAATAAGAATTCTGGTTTTCATTTGGGAGAACAGTACAAGAAAAGAAATATAAAGAGATGAATAATATGTACAGGATTTATTATACAGTCAATGTGCCATAAAGAGAATGCAAAATTGAGAATAAGTATCAAGAATGTAAAAATATTCTTTCACTTTACGTAATTCAAATCAGAAGATCCCAAACTTCCATCTTACTAAAAGGTGCTGGGTTCTGACTAAGGAGAGCTCATTGTTTTAAAAAGAATGCCATCAAATATGAGAAAAATATAAACCAATAAAAAAAATGGAAGTAGTTGATGGAATAAATAAACGGAATAGCAAGGGGAGGCCAGAAATTGGTGGGGCAGTAAGAAATCCCTTTATAAAAAAACTTGTAGGCCTTGCATTTGGGGAGCCCCAGGATGAAGGACTCTCCTTATTGATGAAGTAAATATCCATCTCCATAGCGACATTCTGTTAGATTGGTTCATATTCATTTGGGATTCCTTTAATTGAATATTCGTTCATTCAACAAGCTCCTCTTAGTGCGTGCTCTGAGCCAAGCCCTGGACTAGGCAAGAGCTTCACAGAAATGAATCAGACAGAGTCCCTGTTCTCCAGGCATTCATAGCTAGTTGCAGCAGCAAGCCTTGGAACAACACAGAGACGTAAAATTAATACAAGGGCTTAGAGGGAGGCATGTGTACGAAATGATGCGGCATTGGAAACAGAGTGTGGTGGGAGCCATTTAGGGAAGACCCCTAAAAATTTTGACAAAGCACCCCAAACATGCCAGACTCCCGGAGCATCCAAGGACCCAGCAGAGTTAGCACCAAAAATAAGCACTCAAACTATTTTGTTAATTTTCACGTTAGGTGCTTGGACAGGAAAATACACAGAAACCGTCTGCTTCTCTCAAGGGAAGAGAGGGAGAGCAAGAGTCCTAACTCCCTAAGGGGATTAAAACAGGAACGATGTGCAATGAAATGAGGTAAGTGATTTGGAAATGCAGCAGGGGATCAATGATTTGCCAGCAGGCAGGATGCGCAACAATAGTGGAGGAAATGCCTTCCGACCTGAGCCTTGGGGTTGATTCAAGTTAGCAAGGCAGAGGAGAGGGAAAAATGCAGTTCCAGCGAAGGGCGGAGCCTAGCAGAAAGGCAGGAAGCAGGGTGCGTCGGGACATGCAGCATGGCGGACAGATGAAGGAAGTATGGTGGGTGGCAAGAATGGTAAGGTGAGACCCGGTGCAGTGGCTCACGCCTGTAATCCCAGCACTTTGGGAGGCTGACGCGGACGGATCACCTGAGCTCAGGAGTTCGAGACTAGCCTGGGCTACACGCTGAAACCCCGTATCTACTAAAAAATACAAAAATTAGCCTGGGGTGCTGGCTGGTGCCTGTAGTCCCAGCTACTCGAGATGCTGATGGGCGAGAATCACTTGAACCCGGGAAAGTCGAGGTTGCCCGGAGCTGTGATCGCACCACTGCTCTCCAGCCTGGGTGACAGAGAGTCCCTGTTTAAAGAAAAAACAAAAAACAAACAACAACAACAAAAACTGGCAAAGGCGAGTTTTACTTTTTTTTCCTTTAACAGACGTATTGAGATATAGTTTACACACCATAAAATTTCCCCATTTCATGTGCACAATGTTTAGTAAATTTACGGAGTTCTGAATCCATCACCAAAATCAAGCTTTGAAACATTCTGTCACCAGTAGAAGGTCGTAACTGCAAGTTGTCCAGATTCCTGGCGTTTTGAACAGAGTTGAACAAAACGCCCAGCAAAGCAAAGAAAGAATGAAGCAACAAAAGAAGGAAAGCAGGGATGTATTGAAAACAAAAGTACACTCCACAGTGTGGGAGCAGCCTGAGCAGCTACTCAAGAGCCCCCAATACAGAATCTTCTTTGGTCCAAATACCCCCCAGAAGTTTCCCATTGGCCACTTCATGCATACTTCATGTAAATGAAGTGGTAGCCCTCAATCAGTCTGATTGGTTGCAGAAAGCAGCCAACCAGAGGCTGAAGTTACAAAGGTCACACTCCTGTGCAAACATCTGATTGGTAAAGGCAACCAATCAGAGGCTACGGTGAAGTTACAAAGTTATACTTCTGTGCAAATGAAGACTGACTAAGCCTGCAATCAGTCTGGTTGATTGTGGACGGCAACCATTCAGAGGCTGGAGCTAAGTCACAAAGTTGCAAACGAAGACTCCACTGGTACTCAGTCTGATTTGTTGCAGACAGATTTCCCATCTGCAGCCTCTGGTCCTTTTTTTACTTAGGCGTGGAAAGTTAGGGTTTTCCTTTCAATTTAGTTCTAGGAAGTCAGGGTGAAAGAGCCTTAGGTTCCCTGCCTCCAGACCCTATTCTCCTGCCTCAATTCCCATCATCCGAAAAAGCTCCCTTGTGCCTTTCTGCAACCTTTTCATCCCACTTCCTTCACTTAGCATGAGGGTTTTGAGGTCATCCACATTATAACAAGGATCAAGCAGTCTTATAAACCATGGTATAAATACCTTACCTCTTAAATATCAATTCACCAGATGATGGACATTTAGCTTGTTTCCATTTTTGACTATTAGGAATTATGCTGCTGTGAATATTCACCTACAGGTCTTTGTGTGGACATATGTTTTAATTTTTCTTGGATTAGAGTTGCCAGATTTAGCAAGTTAAAATACAGGAAGCCGAGTTAAATTTAAATGTCAGATAAACAATACTTTTTTTTAGTATAAACATGTTCCATGCAATATGTGGGACAAACTTATACTAAAAAATTGTTTTTATCTGACACACAAATTTAACTGAGCCTCCTGTATTTTATCTGGCACCTCTACTGATACCTAGAAATGATATTACTGGGTTACATAATAGGTTTCTATTTAACCTCTTAAGATACTGCAATCTGTTTTCCAAAGGGACTGTTTACATTCCAGCAATGTGTGAGATTCATCTTTTTCTCATCTTTATTGACACTTGGCTATCTGTCTTTTTAAAAACTATAATCATTTGAGTGTGTGAGGAGTGGTTTCTCATTGTGGTTTTAATTTCATCTAGTCTTTATAAAGAATTATGTTTATTAGCCATTCATATATCTTCTTGGGAAAATGTCAAATCTTTTGACCAGTTTTTATTTTTACTTTTTTTGTCACAGTCCTACACATAATTCATGGTATTTAGAGCTTCACTTTATCAACTGTTGCCGAATTACCATTTAAACATTAATACCCAAATACAGAATTTAGAATTAACTCTACCATACCCAATCTCTGAGCAATGAATTTGTTCACCAATTTTTAATTGGGCCATTTGTATTCTTATTGAATTGTAAGAGTTCTTTATATATTCTGAATACAAATCTCTTATCAGATGTATGATTTGCAAATACTTTATGCCAGTCTTTGGCTCATCTTTTCATTCTCTTGTTTTTTAAAGCCCCAAATATTTTAATTGTGGTGAAGTCCAATTTATCAACTGGTTTTTAATAAATTTTGCTTTTGAAGTCCTATTAAAATCTTTGCCTAACCTAACATCACAAAGATTTTCTCCTGTTTTCTTCTAGAAGTTGTATAGCTTTAGCTCTTACCTTTAGGTGCATAATGAGCTGAGGGTCTAATTAACTTTCTTCCTTTTTTCCTTCCTTTTAAAATACAGATATCCAATTGTCTCAGCACCATTTATTGAAATGACTGTCTTTTCTCCTGTTGAATTATCTTTGCACATATCTTGAAAGTCCGTTGGTCGTCTGTGAGGGCTTATTTCTGGACTCTTAATTCTGTCCTGTTGCTGTATATGACTGACTATCCTTGTGTCAATAAACAGTCTTGATTATTGTTGCTTTACAGTAAGTTTTGAAACTGGGTAAGGCAATTCCTCCAATTTTGTGCATTTCAAAATCATTTAGGATCTTTTAGACATTTTGCATTTCCATGTTAAGTTTTAGGATCAGCTTGTGAATTTAAAGAAAAACCTTTCTGGAATATCGCTAGGGATTGAGTTGAATCTATAGAACAATTTGGGGAGAATTGCCATCATAACACTGTTGAATTCTCTAATCCATGAGCATGGAAGTTCTCATTTAGATCCTTTGATTTCTCTCGGCAATATTTTTTCAATTAAATAAATGTATTATTATATTCTTTTTGACGCTATTCTGAGTTTACTTTTGAAGGTATCGTTCATTGCTAATATAATGTCAATTTTTAATATTGATTGTGTATCCTACAACCTTGCTTGCTGAATTAGGTCTTGTAGCTTCAAAAAAAAAATTTTTTCCGGTGGATTCTTTAGAATCTGACAGGTAATATTTCTTAATAAAGACAGTTTTACTTTTTTCCCCAACCTAATGTCTTTCTAGTCTTTTTGTAGGGAGAGGGAACAGGGACTGGACAGAACCTCCATGACAACATTGAATAGAAATGATGAAAGGATGTTCTCGACTTGTTTCTGATTTAAGGAGAAAAGTATTCTTTCACCATCAAGTATGTTGGCTGTGAGTTTTTTATCGATGCCCTTCACTAGGTTGAGGAAGTTGCCTTCTATTTCTAGTTTGCTGAGTTTTCATCACGAATGGGTGCTGAATTCTGTCAAATATTCTTTCCTTTGGCTATTTAGTTATTATAATAATATGGGTTTTATTGTTTCTTCTATTAGTATGGTATAATACATTGATTTTTTTGATGTTAAATGAAGCTTACAGTCCTAGGATATGGCCCATTTGGTCCTGGTGTATAAATCCTTTTATCTGTTGTTGGATTCAGTTTCCTAATATTGTGTTTTAAGTATTTTTGCAGCTATCCCCACTGGCTTTAATACTTCTAAAGTATAGGTATTTAAAAGTGTAAATTTCCCTTTAAACAGTGCATTAGCTGTACACTATAAATTTTGACATGCTGTACTTTTTCATTTGTTTAAAATTTTCTAACTTCCTTTGTGACTTCTTCAATACATGGGTTTTTTAGAAATGTGTGATTCAATTTCCGAATATTTTGGGATTTGCAATTTTCTGTTGACTTCTAATTTCAACATGGTTGGAGAACATACTTCCTACTATTTCATCCCTTTTAATTCACTGAGACTTCTTTTATGAAATAGCATGTGGTTTCCCCTGGAGAATGTTCCATGTGCACTAGCAAAGAGTGTGCATTCTGTTCGTGGTGGGTGGTGGTAAATGTTTGGACAATTTGGCTGACAGCATTCTTTTGTATGCCTGTGATTCTCAATTGAGTCATTCTATCAATTATTGTAGGTGTCAAAATCTCCAAATATTATTAAATTGTCCATTTCTCCTCTCAATTCTATCATTTTTCTCGTTATTTTGGGGTCCTGTTAGGTGCATATACATATGTTAACTGTTATATCTGATATATTGGCTTTTTAAAATATCCTATATTTCCAGTAATATTTGTCTTAAAGCCCACTGTACTGATATAGACATTCCAGCTCTCTTACGATTACTGTTTGCATGTTATATTTTTCCATACTTTCACTTTACAGCTATTGGTCTTTGAATCTACAGTGTGCCTCTGTGAACACCATATAGTTTTTTCTTTTTAAATCCATCCTGACCATCTCTACCTTTTAACTATTTAGTCCATTCACATTTAATGAAATTATTGGCATGATTACTTATGGCTGCCATTTTGCTATTTGTTTTCCAAATGTCTATCATTTTGCTTCTTTCTTTCTGCCTTTTGTGTTAAATATTTCTTGGTGTACCATTTTGTTTTTTTTAATTTATTTTTAAATTGATGCTTCAGTGGTTACTCCAGGCTCTACAGCATGCATTTCAATTTATTACAATCATCTTCAAATTAGGACTAATTAATTCTAATAAGATACATCTTTGTCCCAATAGAGTTCCATTTCCTACCCACTCCTTTGTTATTAATATACACTGCACCTATATTGTAAACCCAACAGTATGGTGATGTAATTACTATATAGTCTTATGCTACTGAAAGATAACTTACATTTATTTTGGTAGGCAAATTATTTCCCCAAGATTCCCATTCTCTAGTTATTTAATCAAATACTAATCTTGGTACTGCAGTGAATGCACTTTGCAGGTAAAACTGAGGTTACTAAATAGGGTAATTATCCTGGATTATCCAGATGGCCCCCTGAGTAATCACATGGCCCCTTAAAAGCAGAAGAGGGAAGCAGAAGCATTAGAGAGATGCAGTGGAAGAGACAGTGGAGAGATGAGGCAGAAGGGGAGATCCGAGAAAAGTGCAAGGATGATTCAACCCATTGCTGCTGGTTTTGATGATGGAGGAGGGAACCACGAGCCAAAGAATTTGAGTGGCTTCTAGAAACTGACAACCACCCCTGGCCAACCTGTCTTACAACCATATGGAGCTGAATTCTGCCAACAACCTCAATGAGCTTGGAAGCCTATTCATCCGAGCCTCCAGAAAAGAATGTTGCCCAGCCAATGCCTTCATTTTGACCTTTTAAAATATGGAGCAGAGAACCATCTGAGCTATGCCTAGACTTCTGAATTATGGAATTCTGAGATCATAAATAGGTGTTGCTTTAAGCCAGGGCATTTGTAGTAATTTATGGCAGCTATACAATCATACAGTCTTTGCTAGTTGTACATATATCCACCATTTCTGGTGCTCTTCATTTCATCCTGTGGATTCAGGTTACCATCTGGTGTCATTTATTTTCTGTGTGAAGGATTTAGTATTTCTTGTAAGGCAGACGTCCATAGGCAACAAATTGTCTTAGTATTTGTCTGGGAATGTCTTTAATTTCACTTTTTTTCCAACTTTCAACAAAAGCTTCATATCCTGGTGATGTCTTTGTTATAAGGAAAAAAAAAAATCCCTAAATCCAGCCTTCAAATTGAAGTAACTATCTTTAATGTGAGAGCAATCCTATTCACAAAGCCCCTCCCCAGAGTCAATCAAGGGTTTGGGGACCACATCTCATCATTTTTCCAGTTCTCTTGTAAGCCAAGTTTTCACCCCCAGGAGACTAACAAATGTGCTGACCCAAAGGCAACAGAGATCACCTGTAGACAGGTCCATCATGCCCCAATGGAAGACCCACACCCCTAAGCATGTGGAGAAAAGCCCCCAGGCACAGAGACACACCTGCAGACAGGAGGGCACTCCCCGAACACGCTATAATATTGTAACTTGCACTAGGCAGGGTTAGAAAACTTCTAAAGACTCTTGTAACTCAAAGGTTCTAGTTGCCATCTACAGCAACTACATATGGCATGACTCATTCCAACGTATACACTTTATTTTAAAATATGCCACTGGCACTTGGGAAAAATGTAATTTATTTGCACTGCTTCCATTCTTCTACTGTAGTGTTAGGACTTAACATAAGCATCACTCTTCTATTTCCTATTTACATTCTTTTGGAATATTACTACAAATACAATATACAATTTAAAAAAACTTATGGGGAAACACAGCTTATGTTTTTTTCTCCTCTTTACAGGCTTCTCAGTATCATTCGACTTCAATGGAAATTTATATGGACATTTTCTGTACATATCTTAAAAGGCAGAGATTACACTGATAAAGCCTAAAGAATCCTGCACAAATACAATACAGAAAACAGAAAGTACAGACGATGTTATTTGGGGTACAAATATAAACAATACAGTACCATTTGAGTAACTGAGCAACATAATACCCATACTTTATAGAAATAAAACTGCAAACCTGGAGAATGCTCTGACAAATATTAAACATTATATACACAATGAGGTAAATGTACCTTGGTCTCTTGAGAGGTAATTTAAGTTTAAAGCAATTGACATTTTGAAGCATCTCCTTAACATATGAAGAAATATCAAACACCCTATTCCGTTGGCACAACGTGAAAAAGGGGTATCAAAACATGGTTCATGATATTCAGTTCACAAATCTTGTTAAAAAATAAAAACAAATTCACTGAAGTTCCTTTTAAGTTGTAATAAACAGGTTGAATGTTATTAACCATATTTTTAGAAGTTTACATTTACAAACAAGATTGCATAATGGGATTGAAAAGTTTAATGTACTGACAATCATCTTAATGTCCTAGAAGTCCAGCACTCTTGAGAGGGCCCATGGGTATTCCAGTAATCCAAAACAGAGACAAGAAGCTGCAGTACATGTCCAAAGATAATCCTTAGTATCTCAAAATATCTGAGCTGGCATTTTCTGCCAAAGTGTTAACAGAACCATTATTTGGAATCACTACCATTTGGAGCCAGAACACTGCCATGGTCAAGAAACAGTTGACTTACGATTCTTCCAGTGCAAGAATAAAAATAAGCTTTTGATGATGTGTCTAATGGGATAGTGATTTTGTTGTGCACTCTAACGATCTCTTTGCCATCTTGTTTTAATCTGACAGTTCTCAGACATAGAGAAAAAAGGTAACTCATGCATGTACTACAAAATCGCCAAGTGACCACTTACATTTTGTAATAAAACCTGAAATCTGGGATTCTTGATGGCCATGGCACTGTACACCAACTCAAGGCACTTCTTGAGCACTATCATTATTACAGCAGAATTACAGGCTCAGCTCTTCAGACCTTACCCTGTCTTATAGGCGATACAACTGGCCACTGTTTCTGGCACAACTCCACTGCCACAGGAGCCACCTTGCTGCCATCCCACTCCTCATCCATGGCTGAAGTCAAAGCAGGGGCATCCCAAGCCTCATCTGCTCAATCTCCAAACTTGGAGACCCCTCCCTTCCACCTCTAATGACTGAAGGAAATGGAAGTGGGTCCCACAACTTCCATCAGCCGTTTTACTCTAGGTCTCCAGAGCAGCCTTCAGTCAAACGGCTGTGGGGGAGGCAACGGTCTCTGCGTCAGGGACCAGCAAGCAGGAGAGCAGGTTCCAAGAAACAGCTGGAGACAGAAAGGATGGACCAGGGATGTCTATGCCTCACTAAGTCGTATTTCCCCCATCCCCATTTCTCCTGGCTACTGACAAAATGAATATGGACGCACAATTTACCAGAAGATGTTTTAGCCACGTTGAATCTTGGAAGGTGAGCATCCTAGGATGGGCAGTATAAACAACTGTGTTTTTAAATGACAAAATTATTACTCTAATCAAATTTATCTGCAGTTATCGACAGTAATCATGATCCATCCCACCTTTTAAGTTTCTTTCATTTTCAATATCAGCCAATTGTGGTTTATCAAACCATCCCTAGCCAAAAAAGGAATTAACTGCAGTAATACGTAAAGTCAATTTAGAACTAAACTCCAACTTTAAAAAAATTCCCTGATTCATCAAAAGTACATTTTATCCACTTAGGTAAGAAAAGTATAATTGTAACTCAATCTTTGATTCAATAAAAAATATCTTCAGCAAAAGTGGATAACCTTACATGAAAGTGAGAAATCATGTATTACAACTTTAAATCAGACAACTTTTGGTATATTCTTAAAATTATATAAAAATAGTTTTAGTGATAAAATGCATTGGTCCCCTGGATTTCATAAAGCAGATCTGGTAGGCTTAGAAATGGCCCAAAAACAACAACAAAAAAAAAAAAACAAAAAAAAAACCCCCACAAAAAAAGTACCTGATCACAGAATTAGAGATTATTATTAAACAAGTAATACAACACAACTATAAAAACAAACCTCTCAAACTCATTCATTTGCTTCAATGAAATTATGGTAACTACAGAAAAAAACTCAACTTTGTAGTCAAAATAGTAACCTCTAAGCATTTTTCCCATGATGTTTTTAAACACATGAAATTGACACTAAATTCCTATGTAATATGTCACTCATTCTAAAATTACTTTGGTTTTAAGATCAAATAGTCTTTCAAATTTATTCTACGTATAAGAGATAAGACATTATCAGAATGCAACTCATTCAGTGTAAATGGCCACTTTCTCTTCCTGACCAAAATACTGTATGGGTTACTCTGACCCTGTATCGGGGAACTGATAGCACTATAAAGTCGAAGTCTTGCCTCAGAGCTATGATAGTTTTTTCTCCCCTCAGAATAAGATCACAGTGATAAAAGGACTTCGAAAACTGTAAAAGCCCTGCAGAGACTTCATAGCATTGGAAGTAAAAACCAGTTATTATAAGCTAGTTTCAACTTAATGTAAGAAGACCATGACAAGTTTGCTTTCAATATTTGACCAAAGACATCTGTAAATGGAGAAAAACCTATACTCAGAATGTTCTTTAGCTACCACCTCTCCCAAGTAACAAGGGTGCACTGAATGCATTACATAAATTACATGTAAGCAGTTGCAATGTACGCACACATAAGGAAACACTGAATTAAAAGCTGCCTTCCTCAAAGTGTAGTGAGACCTCAAAACCACACTAGCTCTAACCTCAGTTACAAAGACAGAGGATCCACCGAACGTTTACTCCTACATACATAACAAATGTGACTTTCTTGCACATCTGTTATCTATTCAAATTATTAACTACCTTCGCCTTCCTAGAAAAAGGCCTATTATTTAATATTAACCATATTCTAATTTTAAATGTAATTCATGTCTTAAAAAATAAGTCTTTGAACAGATAAAGAAAAAAATGGCTTACAGAATACCACATAACTTTTCACAAGCAGCTAGACAGACTTTCCCTTTTAGAAAAATTAGTCTGTATGCTACAAATATTAAAGTACTATAAGCATCTAGAGTGCCACTTGATTTTTTAAAAGTATACTTAGACAACACAATTAAAATGCAAAAGCTTGATGTGAGAATATTCAAACATGACCATGCTAATAATTTACTAATTAATGCCACTTCATTTCTTTAGTGGCTTAAGCACATTTTGGTAGGAGAAAGGCATTTTCAGAATAGAATACCAAATGACATACCACAAAAACCCTTCCAAAAACAAAACAGAAAAAGTTTGGGTTACCCAGATAAATAAGCTTTTTGAATTCAAACACTATAGGTTTTAACATAGAGACTTTCAGCAATTCTACTCATTTCCATTAGAAAGACACAGAAGTGGCACTTACTGGTATAGTACAATCCCATTTTGAAGGCATGTAATGTTCTGAATAAGTGAAAGAACAATAATAGTATACAAAATACAATTGCATGAATTATGTTCCTCACTACTATATGAGGTCATTTTTAGACTCAAGATAAGAGTTTTATAAGTGTTAGTTTTAAGATCCTGAAAAACTATAGAACAGTACATTCAAAGTCTGAATCAAGGAAACTCTAGTGGTTCAGAATCCTCTGAGAATGTACTAACCAGGAGTAAATCACTTTCTTTAGTAATAAGACATGTTTCATTGTAATTCAGCAATCCAACTCCTTTGCCCTTAAAGATGATCTCCAGCACAGCAGAGTTACCTAAAGTTAAGACCAGCAATCATCTTTTTAAAAAACAAGTTTTGTTAATAAAAAATAAAGGTAGACTACACATTTTCTGTCCTGGGAAAGAAGCGTTCATAGTGCACAGAAAGGACCCACATGGCTGTTTCCTGGGTCCAAAGAAATCCTGGGAAGTTTTTAATTGACTTTATTACACTGCTGCAAAAGGAAGCAATATCCTTCTGTTCCCTCTCAGTGAGGTAGAACAATTGACCTCCCAAATTAAAACCCAGGAGCAGATCTGAAGAAAAAAGGAGAGTTCAGGCAAAGCTGTAGAATTACATTTTGATGCCTTCCTGTTGACTGAGTTGCGATAATGTTTTCTTAATCCGCAATGCTGTAAGCCTAGCTGCTCCATTGGCATACCAACATTCTCTCATAATTTTAGCCATTACTCTCAAGGCCTACAAGAAAATATAAAAAAAAAAATTAATGCATGCACCATTTTCCATTGGTCTGGATAAGAATTTTTACGTGTAAATTTTCTTTTTAAATGACATATACACTTGTTATTGTTTAAGCATTATTTGTAATAGCAAATGAGTAGAAATTACATAAATTTCCATCAATAGGGTACTGGTGCCAGTGCTGGAAAGCAGGTGGACAAAGAGTGACTCATTTAGCAAACCTGAAAAGGCCGAATCCTAAACCAGAGCTGGGCAAAGCAAAGAAGAAATCTGACCTCACACTGAAATTTTAAGTTTGTACTTTGAAGTATTCACATCAAATTTTTCTTTCTTTTTTTTTTTTTTGAGACAGGGTCTCACTCTGCCGCCCAAAGTGGAATGCAATGGCATGCCCTCAGCTCACTGCAGCCTTGACCTCCCAGGCTCCAGCAATCCTCCCACTTCAGCCTCCCAAGTAGATCAAATTTCTAAAAGACAAAATCTAGCAGCACTCTCATTTATTAAACTATGTCACATGCAAATTCCTTAAGCATGCTGAAATACATTTTATTTATTTGGGCCTGGAGATGTGATTTTGTTGGAGGTAGCAAGCTCTCTTGCTTATCAGAGGTTCTGCTGAGTCCTACAATAGTTTAAGACGTAAAATCAACTACTGAACTGAACAGCTTTTTATAGCCTTTTTAAGCTACAAATCTTCAAACCTGGAGGAATATGCTCTGCTTCACCAATATTGTAATAGTAACAGCTAGCAATTAAGGAGAGGTTAAATAAAATTCATCTTACGAATCTTTAAATTTACAATTACAAAAACGTTTCTAAAACTTTTTGTTAGAGCTGAAGTTGAGCAGCTCAGATACTGCTGGAAAAAAGCATTTTCCCTAAATTCCTGGTTAACGGTTATCTGGGCAATCAGATGAATAAAACGGAAAATCATTTGAAACACCTTTGTAATCACCTTATCTGAGTTCCTCACCTTGCAAAGGGATATTAAAGTCCAGAGAACTAAAGGGATTTGTTCAGAGTCAGACCCTTGAAATGGTAGCCAGGCTGGTCTAGAATACAGGGCTCCTCATTCATGTCCGGTAACTGTCTAGTGTTCTGGGTTGCCCCGGCTGAAGGGAGGCATTCATTTAAAAATATGTGCCTTAGTTCGCCCGGCAGATCTAAACTATGTTCTGATACACTAAAGGCCACTGCAAATGTTCCATGGCCCTTTCAATGTGCTTACAATTGAATATGAAAACCAAATTATTCTGTTTTTAAACATTGGTTTGACTGCTATGAAAAAGAAAATTCTTAAAGAAAAGTTTTCCTTAAAGAAAAGTAGCAAACTTTTGCTTACTAAGCAGAAGCAGTTTAGAAAATTGCCTAATATCAAAAAGAAATACTCACTTCACAGCTCTGCCATCTGTTTGGGATATTTGGCCTTAACTTCTGTTCACAAACAACTTTTCTCATTTCTTCAACTGATGGGTCAGAAGGTACAAGATCATAATAAGGCAGTTGGTAATCTTCATGAATTCCTGTATCAGTTTAAAAAAAATTAAATTTTGATGAATTTATTCAGCTAATGCCAAGGCATTAAAAGATCACCTGAGAGACCTATTACAGTGTTTCATTACTAAAGTAGGTATGTGGAACAGAGATTACAGCTTTCTCTATCTCATCCACATCTGTATCCACAAGCCACTTCCCTGAGTTGATATTCCACCCACACCTTGAAACTAAGTATTGCCATGAGATCAATAAAGCCTATTTGAAATGACAGTAAACTATGAGCTGTGATGACCAGATTGACATTTTCCCCTAGAACCCTATTGTGCAGCAAATGAGATTCTATTCTGTAAGTGCACAGGCTCTCACTTGCACAGGGATATATATACCCTATCAGTGAGACTTGAATCTTATGAGGCAAGTTTAAGGTGCCAAGTCCCTTTCTCTACTTGCATCTGTCAATAATATATCCTATTTACTACAATACAGAGAAATACTCTGTCCCTCACTGCTTCAAAAACCTAAGGCACTAGGTCTCAGCCAAGTCTAGGTCCCCAAGCCTAAGAGACTGTTTCCTGAGTAAACATTAAAAGTACTCCATCTAAAAAGCTAGAAGTTAAAACAAACTAACTCTAGAATACAACACAATGGTAACATAATTGTATTCTGTGTATGTAACTGTAACTATCAAGTTGGAGAAAATAACCACAATCTCAAAGAAAAAAAATAAGTTTGACACCCAGGTACATGCTAGAAACAGCTTCCTAGGTGAGCCTCTCAAGCAGCTGTCCATTCTAAAGAACTATATTCCAATATAACAAGGGGTTGGGTTCTGATGAGTCTCCAGATTCAAATGGAAACAGGAAGAGAATACACTAGGCTAGAGCTGTGCATGTGCACACCATGGCACTGTCCCCTCCCAAAGGTTTCATCGCCTTTGTTTTCTCTGGCACTCGGTGACATCCTGTTTCAGATAATGGACTGTACATAATTTCATTCAATTAAAAAAAGAAGACAATTCTTGAACAACTTCTGCTCATGACAAACTACTGGGGGAGAGGAGAGCAATTTACCACCAATGGAACATCGTCGAGCAATTTCCCAGAATACTAAGCCCATTGCATAGATGTCAGCACGTTTGAAGGATTCAAAATGTTTCATATTTATGGAATCATCGAGAACTTCAGGGGCCATGTACCTAAAAAAAATTTGCAAAAAGAACTTTGAAAATCATCCCCTTACTGCCATATTTGGATGAACCTCCTTTCAGACATTTCTTTATACATAGACATATGTACACAATATTACATAACAAATATTAGACTCAAGAAAAATATTAAATATCCACACTGGTTTGCACATTAATGATGTCAACTAAATCCCACAAAATGCTAAAATAGCAGTTTCACACTATCTGCCTCATGATCTTGGTTTCCAATGAAAGACATACATAACAATTGTGACTGTTAAAGGTGTCCTAATGTACACCACCTATACACGTACTAGGTAGAAACCATGCATTTTAATTTAGAAGTCTTCTCACTGAGGATGAAAGGAAGGGCACGAATATACTCCAGGGAAAAAAATAATAGATACAAAAGAATGCCAGTCCTCATACTGAAGCTTCAAAAACCTACCAAAATTATGGGTCAGGACCCACAGAGACCTACAGCAACCACTGACAAGGACCCCTTAGCTGGTTGAGAATTGAGAGTCATCTACGGCCATACCACCCTAAACACGCCCGATCTCGTCTGATCTTGGAAGCTAAGCAGGGTCGGGCCTGCTTAGTACTTGGATGGGAAAATTGAGAGTCCCCAGGGAATCCAGAAATCTCAAAATTATACATGCAATTTGAATAGACTAATGCTGCTGGCTCTCCAGCTGTCTCCAAGGCCAAGACAGTAGTTTGAAAAAATGCTGTGACAGCTTGTGATAAGGGGTTTGGGTCAGAAATGCCCAGGTTCAAATCTCAGCTCTTCGGCTTATCATCCACATGAAGCTGGCCATATTATTTAACCTCCTCAAGGTGGTTTCCTCATCTGTGAATTAAAGGGTAATAACACCTACCTAATTAAGTTCTTTTGAAGACTCATGGACTCAACAAATATCTACTGAGGATCTACCATGTATTAGGCACTGTGATGGATGCTGGGAATACAAGGCTGCTCTCAAGCAGCTTGCACCTAATAGAATATATAGGCAAATAAATAAACAGTTACAACATAACGCATAAGTGCCTCAACGGTCCCAGTTCAGTGTGCTATGACAGTCCCTGGCAGGGACTCCTAAGATTTTTGAGGACTAGAAAAAACTTCCTACGGGAAAGGTGGGTATGAGGCTGAGAAACAGTAGGGTAAAGTATGCTCCAGGAGACAGCATGTGCAAAAGTTCTAAGAAAGCAAGAAAGGCATATTTTTAGGAACTGAAATATGAAAATAGCAGGGCTAGCTACTGCACAGTATTTGAGAAGGGATTAAATGAGGTAATATACGTAAAAGACCTATTAGACGATTGGCACATAGTAGGTGCCCTATAAACGTTAGTTACTACTGTTATTATAATTAACATGCCTAATGATATTTTCTGGAAGGGCAACCTTTCATCAGCAGGCATCTTTTTAAGTCAGGTAACTCTGGCTTCAGAGCAGGCAAGACCATGAGATCTTCTTACCTGTTGGCAATCTAATAAAGTGCAAGTTTAAGCTGAGTTTCAGCAATGATATGTATATATGAAAGAGAAGGGAAAAAAGGTGATTTCAGAAGATATTAAATATAGTTGTTCAAAAGTATACCTTTTTGTTCCCACTCTGTGGTTTGGAGCAATATCAATGGTATCTGTGGCTGAATCATGTCTTACTGCCAGTCCTAAGTCTGCAATACAGCAAGTTCCATTCTTCTTTACCAAGATATTCTTTGATTTCAAATCTCTATGAGCAATGGCTGGCTTTCCTAAAGAATCAAAAATTAAACATGACTGCTTAAAAGGTAATACCAATCACAACTCACATCTTTAGGTTCAAAAGTCTCTTCTCCCAACCCAAATTATCAAAGCATTTCAGCCCACATGACCTACAATACTTACGGCATTATTAAACTCAAGTGAATCACTACACCAAAAGTCACTGAATTTATATTTCTTTAAAGAAAATGTGGACAATAACATGCTTTAAAAGATGAACAACTCAAAGACTGGGGCAAAAAAAAAGTTATCAGTTTATCTGTTGGTGCCTTATGAATTCTTTTTAAGAAACTTAGCCATAGACTGATATTCCAGCAGCCCAGGAACCAAGCATGTAGAACATCACTTCCCTATCAACTGCAATGTACTCAGTATTAAGTATATTATCTTTGATGCTAACCACTAGAAAATGTTATTAAAAAATAATAATTATAATGTGGAAAACCTGGAACCTTCATACACTGCTGGCAGGAATGTAAAATGGTTCAGGCACTTTAAGAAAATAGTATGGCAGTTCTTCAAACCATTAAATAGAGTTATCATATGATACAGTAATTCAACTCCTAGGTATATACCCAAGATAACTGAAAACATGAAACTACATACAACTTGTACACAAATGTTCACTGCAGCATTAGCTACAATGGCCAAAAGAAACAAACCAAATGTCCATCAACGAACGGATATATGACATATGCCATATCCATACACTGAAGTATTACTTAGCCATCAAAATGACTGAAGTACTCATACGTGCTACAACATAAATGAACCTTGAAAACATGCTAAGTGAAAGAAGCCAGTCACAAAAGACCACATATTGTATGATTCATTTATATAAAATGTGCAGAATAAGCAAATCTACAGACAAAAAGGAGCAGTTGTTGCCTAGGGCTAAGGAGTTTGGGAGGAAAGGGGAGTGACTGCTAGTGGCTACAGGGTTTCTCTTTGGAGTGAAGATATTCTAAAATTGACTGTAGTGTTTGCTGGCTGTACAACTCTGAGTATTCTAAAAACCACTGAATTTTACACTTTAAGTGGGTGAACTTTATGATGTGAATTATAACTCAATAAAACTGTTACAATCAATAATAATAATAACTACAAAGATGGAGCTAAGATGTGAACTAGCACTTATGCTGTATGTAAAGTGGGGAGTGGGGGAGCCATTGGGTTGCAAGTGGACAACTGCTAGAGCAGAGAGATATACTGGCATCTGAAATCCCACATGCACAAAAACTACAGCATACAAATGTCATAACTAAAACTTAGTATTTAATTTTTCAACTGTAAAACTATCTCATGCAGTCTCCTTATCTCAAGGTCAAATATAATTATTAGATGGCCAGATAACAGTTACCTAGCATGTTGATGTTTACAAAGCACTTTCACATTTCATTTGATACTACACATAAAAATATATTCAGTTGGACCTGAATTCTGAAACTGAGATCCTCAAAAATCATAAGATTGAATGCTACTTTTAAGAACTCAAAAAAAATCACAGTTTTGTTACAACGACTAGAGAATCTCTAAACAAATTTCCAGATTCCTAGCTCTACCTGAAATTTTGAACTGAAAGATAAAATGTTCTCATCTAAAAAATTTGTTTTAAATATCTCCAGTTAGGCCACCTACTGTTTTTGTTTTTGTTTTTTTTTCTGAGACAGGGTCTCTCTCTATTACTCAGCTGGGAGTGCAGTGGCATGATGTCTGCTCACTGCAGCTTCGACCTCCCAGGCTCAGGTAATCCTCCTACCTCAGCCCCCTGAGTAGCTGGGACTACAGGTGCATGCCACCATGCCCGACTAATTTTTTGTATGTTGGTAGAGATGCGGTTTTGTCATGTTGCCCAGGCTGGCCATGAACTCCTGAGATCGGGCGATCTGCCCACCTCAGCCTCCCAAAGTGCTGGGATTATAGGCATGAGCCACCAGGCCCAGCCTCCACCTTCTATTTTCATAGACATTATTCATGAAAATTTAAAGCTTAAATAATAGAACTGCTTATAGAATTACCTTGGGTACCAACAATCTCCATGTGAAGATGGGCAAGACCGCTCGCCGTGGACAGAGCAAGTTTTATCATTCCTTCCACAGTAACTGTGTATCTGTTTAAGTAATCAAAAAGGGATCCATGCTCATGATAATCTGACACCAACCAGAGCTGAGTCCAAGTACCATTGTCTGTAAAACAGAATTAACATTTCGGTTGGGCTGCAGACCATTTATGATTTATTTGTTCAATGGTTATTACTTTTTACTCTCAATCCTGAGTCACACACTGCAATATAATGCCACCTTAAGTCTGTATTTCCTTCACATTTTCTTCTACATTGTTTGTTTTATACTTTTATGTACACATCCTTTAGTTCCTCAGAGTAAGCCCCTCTTCTTGAGATAAGGCAAGTATAATTAATCCCATTTAAGAGACAAAGATGGTGACTTTTTTGAGTCTTCACAGATAATTGGTATCAGAGCTGGCACTCTTAAGTGCCTAGAAAAATCTCTGGGTCGGGTTGGGTGCTCAGTGGCTGTTCCTGGAAGGAGAGAAGGTTAAAAAAAAGGAAGGAACAGAGAGGGAAGCAAGGAGGTGAGAAGTCTCCGGAGACCAGTGTGGCCACAGTGGGAATGGAAGAGTATGGGACAAAACTGAAAGTGAGTTTCAACAAGAAATGACAAGCTTTAGTGACAGATTGTGTACACAGTTCACAAAGACGCAAGACAAGATGATTATGATTCCAAGGTTGCTAGCTTAGAAAAACAGAAATAGTGATACCTCTAACACATGGGGAAGCTGAAATAGGAACTGAAATGTCAGGAGCAAAACTGGAAAAGCTGGGACTAAACTCAAACAACGAGGAACGTGGGTTCCAAAATTTCCTCTGTAAGCCAAAACACGAGTTTAAAACATGTTTTCTCATAGGAATAATGGTAAAGACACTAGCTAGGCTCCTAAGCTAGACTGGTCCACGACAATCTAATTTAACCTAGAAGTAGCTGGAAAACCACATGCTTAATTAAGCCATGAAGAAAAAAAGCATTACAACATTAGGAGACAGCACAATCCAGTAAAAGATGGACGCTTAGAGTCATTCTAACCTGGTTGGAATCCACGGCCTGCCTGTTACTGACAAGGAGCCTGTTTCTCCTTTTATACAAGAATAAAGTCTTACTTTGTAAGACTGTTAAGATTTAAAAAACGGAATGCTAGATTCTTTAGGTAAGAAGTACATAAACTGTGCTCTTTCTTTCCCTGCTGGTTGTAAACCAAAAGAAAAAATCCATATTGACATGAAACAGCTTCTATTTTGAAGGTATTTGGTTGAAGAAGAAAACCAACTCTGATTAGAAGAGATTAAGAAAGGAATAGAAACTTTTCAGAAGATTCTGGAGGAGATTTCTGGGTACATTTAAAAGGACTTAGTATTAATTTGTTCTTCATGAACTTTATAAACTGATTCTGACCAAACTCGCACCCTTGCTTTTCCTTGATATAGGCACATCACTAGCTTATTTGCATGCCTCTTAACCATTACTGAATTTTGAAAAGCTCACAAATACAAGAAACAAAGTGGAAGACAGGCAGATGGAAGAAAGGGAAACCACAGGTTATGGACAAGATAGAAGGAAGGTTATATGTAAGGGGCCATAAATATAAAGGGCTGCCGGGGGTGGAATTAACTAAATCAGGAGAAGATAAAGGAACTGAGGTGGAGGGGCTAGGCTCAGAGAAAGTACATTAACCCCTGACAAAGAAGAAAGAAGGGGAGTAGGGAAGAGCCAGTAGGGTCAGCTAGTTCCCATGGTGACCACCAGATGACAGCATCAGCCTGGTTAGAAGTTCAGGGCACAGACTCACCAACATTTTGTGCTGCTGTGTTTGTAACTTGGAATGTGACAAAATCCAGACCCTGGGTGAGGTTTAAGCTTTCAAATGGAGATTTGAGAGTTGCCAACATGGTAGAGTTTGAAACCATGAATGTGGCTATGTTCTTAAGGAAGAAATTACCACTTATAAAATCAGTACCTTCATATGAACCAGTGAGAAGAGTAAGAGTTGAGAAAACAAAGACAACTATGAAGAAGTAAGAAGGAACAAGGAAAGTCTAGGGTCATCAAACACAGTAAATAAAGAAAAGGTTGTTTTAAGAGTTGGGGGAGGAAATAAATGGTGATAAAGGCAGAAACGAAAATGAGAACTAAGGATTTGGTCAGACTGATTACTATTTTTTGTTTTGTTTTGTTTTGTTGTTGTTTTTTTTTTGAGACAGAGTCTCCCTGTGTCGCCCAGGCTGGAGTGCAGTGGTGCGATCTCAGCTCTGACTGCAACCTCCACCTCCCAGGTTCAAGCAATTCTCTGCCTTAGCTTCCCAAGTAGCTGGGATTATAGGCACCTGCCATCATGCCTGGCTAATTTTTTTGTATTTTTAGTAGAGATGGGGTTTCATCATCTTGGCCAGCCAGGCTGGTCTTGAACTCTTGACCTCGTGATCCACCCACCTTGGCTTCCCAAAGTGCTGGGATTACAGGCGTGAGCCACTGTGCCCGGCCTGTTTTGTTTTTAACTTAAGAGGTATTACATTGTCAGGTGCCACTGATAATCGCTACCTACATTCATCATATACCTCACTGCCCCGTCTTAATCAAACACTATACACCTCCACATATGATGCAATAGGATGTATATAATATCCTTAGTATGTATTTTGAGAAAACCAATAAAACTCCAATTAGGTTTAGCTTCTAAATCTAACTACCAGTTTTCAGAAAAGATAGAAGAACAAGTTAAGAGACACTATGGAAATGCAATCAGCAAAATCCAGAATGTGATAGGCCCTTCAGGATAAACAATCCAATTTCTTCAACAAATAAGCTGCGAGAGGAGAAAAAAGATGAAGGGGGGACCTAAATTTTAAGACACATAAGAGAAATATCAACTAAATATAACTTGTGGACTTAGAATCATAATTTGAATAAATAATTTTTTTAATAGGAGACAATTATAGAATTGAACCTAACTGGATATTTGATAACATTTAAAAAACTGACAATGGTAGTGTGGTTGTTTCATAAAAACATTTCCTCATCATTTGAAGATACAAATTACATTTTATAAGTGTTTACAGATGAAAACATATTGTCTGGGACCAGCTTCAAATAACACAGTTAGGGCAGAGTAGGTGGGATCAGACATCAATTATGATTGGCAGTGACCTGACAACTGTTGAAGCTGGACGATGAGGGATCACTGTAACTACTCTGCTTTTCTACATATTGGAAATTTTCTACAAATAAAAGTCAATAACAAAAAAAAGCAGTACATGCTTGTAAATAAATTTGAAAACCCAGAGAAGCTAAAAGAAAAATAATAAAAATCACCCATAATTACCAACTGAGGTTAAACACTGTTAATATTTGAATAAATAAATATTGCTGAAGTAAATGGAAGGTGGGAGAAGGAAAAAGATGACTACAGGTCTGGCCAAGCTAAGAGATAATGACAGCATTTTTTTTTTTTTTTAAATAGGAAAGCTGGGAAATACATTTGATTCAGGGGTAGGGATGACAAGAGTGGAGCTGAAACACAAGTCTCTGACAGAGGCAGTAAAAATAGGAATCGTGGGGGCTGGGCACAGTGGCTCATGCCTGTAATCCCAGCACTTTGGGAGGGTGAGGTGGGTGGATCACGAGGTCAAGAGATGGAGGCCAACCTGGCCAACATGGTGAAACCCCATCTCTACTAAAAATACAAACATTAGCTGGGCATGGTGGTGCACGCCTGTAGTCCCAGCTACTCGAGAAGCTGAGGCAGGAGAACCACTTGAACCCAGGAGGCAGAAGCTGCAGTGAGCCGAGATTGCACCACTGTACTCCAGCCTGGCTACAGAGCGAGATTCCATCTCAAAAAAAAAAAAAGTAGGAATCATGGGCATAAAGGTATTAACGGAAGCTAAGAAAGTGGCAGCAGCACAGTCTAAGGTCACTGCTTGCAGTCCCCACTCATTCTGACTCCCTGCTGACAGGCTTCCTTCCTTCTTCAGCATCTGACCTGACACTGGGCCTCAGGCACCAGCATGATAGGCAGAAAAGTGTCCGTACAGTTACCAGGGTGGTTGAAGAAACAATTTATCTCTTTGAGTTTGCCAGAAGATTCATCTATTTAGCCCTTGGCAACTCAGAACACTGACAAGTTATTTTTACTCTCCCCATTAATAAGGTCAATAGTCCATATTGAAACATCCTACTGGTCAGGAAGAGATTAAAAGGAAACAGCTATCTGAGCCCTATTCTCAAAATTTTGAGCAAGTTTATATATCTTTTCTATATCATGAGTACTCTCAATAACTAACTGCCCTAAACTAAACCAACAAAGTACATGGCTTTTTAAAATAGCTCTTTTATATTTTATAAAACATTAAGAGATTTTAGGAATGCTATCAAGAGTCAAGAAAATCTTGAAGAAGTTCCTAGTTCTAAAAGTTACTAATATATTGTATTCGACTTAATGGGTCTAATCTACATGAGAGACATCTATGTCTCATCTACTTTGATGATGGTTAGTCACCATATCTGTAAAGACTTAAAGAGATCTTGTTATATATAACATAAGGAAAAGCAAATGTTACAGACCTTTATTGTCTGCTGCTATAAATCCCAGGATGTTTTCATGACGTAACATTACAGTTTGATAAATCTCTGCCTCACGGAACCACGAACGTTCTTCTCTAGAGGAGAATATCTTAACAGCAACTTCTTCTCCCCGCCACTTTCCTCTCCAAACTTCTCCAAATCGACCTTTGCCAATGCTTTCTTGTAACACAATAGTTCTCGCAATTGTTCTCTGAACAAGCAATGGTAAACCTAAAGGTAAAAATAAATAGTACTCAACACAATCAACAATATTACATGTTTCAAACATCATGATAGGCACTAATGAGTGACCCAGAAAACTGATACTTTAAGCTATCCCTTTAGGAATTTATCTCACTGGGGAGATATTATATTTGCAATAAAATAACTAATTAAAAAAGGAAAATAAGATAATAAATATAATAAAAGAATCCAGAAACTCCTGCTAGAGGGTCAAGGTAGGCTTTGTAAAAGTAAGTTGAATTTTGACTATCCCTTAAGTACGGTGGTTAGGCAGGAAGAATGTGCAGGCAAAGGTAGAGGGAAATGAATGACACATTTTTAGGGAAGCAGCTTGGGCAATCAGAGAGAGGATATATGTGGCAAAGCAGTGAAAAGAGAAAGTAAGCTGTCACCAGAAGATGAAGAGTACTGAATACCAAGCTCAAAATAACCAATGAAGAGCTTTAGGTAAAAGAGGAACCTTTAAAGATTTCTGAGAAAAAGGGCCATGGCTGGAAGCAAGATAATTTTAAAATCTTATTTTAGAAAGATGAATCTCGTAACAGTTTCACTGATGGGAGGAAAAAAGGATGTGAACGCAGAAACACAGAAGTAAATTCTGGCTTTTTGATAAGTCAGTAAAAATCACCACAGAAACTATTTCAAGGAAAGCAATTTACTTGCTGACAACTGGCTACATAGACAACACTAGTATCTTGAAGAACAAGGCTAAGTAACTTACCTTGGTAATGGAGCACTGTTTTTCCACTAATGGAACTTGGCTTTCTCCAAAATATGTATTTTTAAGTATTGCCATACTTACTTCATTTAAAAGGGTTTACTAACTTACCTGCAACATTTAAGTGGCACTATATGTGAGACCATCACTTAATATCCTATCCACCATCCGGTAAGTGTCATTTTAAATTACATTGACACTAACAAAGAAAATGCCAGTGTACATCATGTTCCTCACTCATATCTTATTTATACAATCTATGTACATATAAATTGGTGTCATTTATAATCTATACTCAAAGCTGCTTACTAGATCAAATTAACCCAATGACAGTAAATGAAATTATCTGCTCTCTTTGGTTCCCTGATGTGAAATGCTTATAAATCCAAACGTTAAATCTTTAAAGCGATCAGAAGCTCTTCTTCTTAAGTTTCTCAAACGGGTCCTTTCTTCCTCTTGCTCTACCCTCCCCACCTCCTGTAAAGTAGTTAGCAGTATAACTATAAATAACTGTTTGTGTTTATAAGGAGGCTGCTAGTTAGAAACAGATCTGTCAGAAATCCTTATTTAAATCATAGAGCTCTTTCGCACTATGTATAATCAATTCTAATTATGTTGTTTAGTGTAGATACTAATTTATTACATTTTATGAAAGCCTTGTAGAGGGCCACACCACAGACTTAAAAGTACACTTAAGAGTTAATTTCAGGAGACTAATCTGGAAATTGCAAAGACAAGTAATAAAAAAGAAAAAGGAATCACAAACACAAATTCTGAAAACACCTGACAGGTTCAGGACTTGTGTAAATGGTATGGTCAAGAAAGGCCAACAGGACGAGGAAAGGTTTTGTCTTCCCCTTTATCACTGGATTCTAGATGTCAATTAAAATTAAAAAGCAAATCTTGATCCACTGTATTATCTATATTGGATTACTTCACATGAATAGTTGAGCATTTTTAAAAAGTTAACAATTGGCCAGGCACAGTGACTCACACCTCTAATCCCAGCACTTTAGGAGGCCGACGTGGTTGGATCACTAGAGATCAGGAGTTCAAGATCAGCCTGGCCAACATGGTGAAACCTGGTCTCTAATAAATATACAAAAATTAGCTGGGCATGGTGGTGCACACCTGTAATCCCAGCTACTCAGGAGGCTGAGGCAGGAGAATTGCTTGAACCCGGGAGGTGAAGGCTGCAGAGAGCTGAGATCCCACCACTGCACTCCAGCCTGGGCAACAGAGTGAAACTCCGTCTCCAAAAAAAAAAAAAAAAAAAGTAACAATTTTCTTCTAAAGACAAAACTGAATAGGCCTAATTTAGATCTCTATATTCTCTGCTCTACTCTTCTGTACCTTTAGAACTGTTTGAGAGAAAACTTCAAAAGGGAAACAGGGACTCCACAGCTTTACATGCAGTGAACAGGAAATAAGACCCGAACAACATGCATATATTACAAGAGCTCATAAGCTGCACACGCCATAACAAACACTGGCCTAGAAGACTCACTTACAAAAGCTGGCACATATGCACATGTGCACACTCACACACTTGGCGTACAGCTGCCAGAACCCAGCTCTTCATTGTATTCCCTGAAGTTCCCAAGTTAAAAGCACAGTCTTTAGAGGTAGAGACAGGGCCTTTCCTTAATTATGGTCACGGTACTAAGTAATAAACATATGAATTCAGAATGTGAAATGCTTATACCTTTTCCTCAATTAATGAAAGAACTAAAAACAGAGTATTACAAACACACAGTTTACTTATTCACAGGCACTAGTCTCATGCCTAAGGTGGCATTAAGGATTTATAATGAATAGAAGGGAAACAGATGGCATTTTCTGCTATTATTCACCAGAAGATGGCTTCTGCCTGGATAGGTTTGGAGGGAATTCAGTACACAATGAACTATGACAGGCAAAGGAGGCCTTAAACTAAGTTTTGTACAATGTGGTCAACTGATACTGTATGTTAGATTTTTCCTCCAAGTATGTTTTCAATAAGAGTAACACTTGTCATTTGGACATAACTCTACAATTTACCAAGTGCTTTCATGCAAACATTTTGTCTTGCTTGAACTCACAACAATCCAATGATGTGCACAGAATCCATCACTTTCATTTTAAAGATGAAATAACTCAAGCATGAGACATTGGTTAACTGCCCAAAGCCACAGAGCTAGCAAGCAATGCAGACAAGTTTTTGCAGGGTAAGGCATCAAAGGAGGGAGAGAAGCTTTCAGAGAACAGAGAGCTATGGTCCCTCATGGATCTAGAAATATATATATATATATATATATATATATATATATATATATATATATATATAATGGAAACAGAATTATTCCATTGTTTCTCATGTTTATATCTTAAAAGGTTAATGAAGATATTCTTATCCAGTAATCAACTGCCACCCACCCACCAATTCCTTTAATCAGTTAGGTGGGCTTATTCCACTGTGGCAAGTGGCATGAGTGCTGTGTCTTTCCGGAGTATAAGTTTAGAAACAAGAGAACAGGTTTGAGGGATTAATTCCAAATATCTGTAGCCATCCTGATTTTCTGTGACTCTGGTCCTTGATTATCACAGTTTTGAGCAGGATGACTTCCAGAATGAGCAAAATCTTTTTGAAGATCTGAACTGAGAATAAATGGGAAGTCCCAGGAAAGCTCTAAAATAACCTCTGTCCACCAGGCCTGCCTAAAGACTATCACACCTTCAGTACTAAGACTGCTTCATCTAAGTCCAAACTCTCATTGTCTTCCTTGCACAACTGTTTCAGGAATCCCTAAGCTTGCCTTCTGGGACGTGAGCTCCAGTGCGAGCCTGTGTGTGTCCTAGTAGTCAAGGAGAGAGCTCTCTTATTGAATACATATGGCCAAATTCTATAGAAGAATAATTCAGGTAATAAAATCAGTTTCTTCATTCTTAAATGAATGGATATGCATACATACCAATATATATTCATTTCCTTAAAATAAATAGACATTTGTCATTATATGAGCTTTCTGCAACATTAGATGTGATTTTATGCTTCAGAATTATATTCTTACCCAGTCACAACTTCTGCTTTAACATTCCTTTAATATCACTCAATTATAAAATTAGTGAAAATTTTTTTTTTTTTTTTTTTTTAGATGGAGTCTGTTTCCCAGGCTGGAGTGCAGTGGTGCGATCTCAGCTAACTGCAACCTCCACCCCCCAGGTTCAGGTGATTCTCCTGTCTCGGCCTCCCGAGTAGCTGGGACTACAGGCGCATGCCACTACGCCCGGCTAATTTTTTTGCATTTTTAATAGAGATGGGCTTTCACCAAAATTAGTGAAATTTTCATTATATACGCTTTACAAATTTTCACTTTATTCATGAATTTAGCCCTTATTTGAAGATGACTCATACTTTTCAAAGGATAGTACATCTCATTTAAAAGTCTTAACAAACCACTTGAAGTGTTTTTATCAACAGTATGGGTTCCATATTTTTGATGAGGAAACAGAAGCCCAAAGAGGAAACATGTTCTAACCAAGGTTATACAGCCAATCAATGACAAAGCTTGCCTTGAAACCTAGATCTATTTATTCTTCACCAAGTGTCAAATTCTAAAAACACAGGGGATAGGAGTGTTCCTCTCTTAATATTTTTCCAAACCACATGCAAGAAAAAGTAAAAGATAACCCCCTTTCAGTTTAAACATGAAGCACTGCTATGCCAAAATCCACCTTGGGATGACTCTGACAATTAGCTCATCTACTTCTGATGCCACAAATATCAACAAATAGAACTGAGAAAAGAAAACGTCATTAGGGGCCAAAACTACATTAAATAAGAAGGTGGTTAGACATTTTTCTCAAGTGAGAAAATGACATAAGAGTTCATTAGTTTAATTTTAAAAAACCAGGCCTATACGAAAGACAATTTCATATAATGTTTAAAAAGTAAATAACCTTCACAATTCTGAATACATTTCTGTCATGCCTGTTTTCAAATGTAAACATCAAGCTGCTAAACAATCCTGAATAGAATGGGTTAGCTGCAGATCATGTGAATATCTTTGACCTTCAGCTTCATCTATATGAGAATAATTGTTCTTATCCTTTCTACCTCACAGTGATGAAAAGCAAATTAGATTATACAAGTGAGAACGCTTTGAAATTTATACCACCATGGAGCTGACTTATTGATTCGCTTTAACAGTTAAAGTTAAGTTCCAATCTATTTTAAACCAGCCACAGTCATATATACATCAAGCTTAAAGATTTTTATTAGGTTCAAACCTGCAATATTATTTATACTATCTCACATTCTAGCAAGTTGGCTTATTAGAAAACTAATAAAATAAGTATCGCTTAATTTTAAAAAGATGTCTTAGGAAAAAGGAGAAACAATTATGTTACCTGAGCCAGAACCTGACGTTGTCATATCATAAATTAAGTCTTTCAACGTAGTACCCTCTGAAATAAAAGGGCGATCTAATGAAGGGTCCTCTTCATTTGGCACTCGATGGTGAATGACAGTGCGGTTGTGGCAGATATAGACCATCAACATGAGTGAGATGCAGACGAAGCACACTGGTCCAGCAATGACAGCTGCCAGTTCCACAGGACCAAGGCCAGGTGATGACTTTACTGAAAAAGGGCCTCGAGTGAAATAAACATCAACAACGACAAAAACACTGTAGGTGGCAACCCCCATTTTCCCAATCCTACACAATTCCTGCAGCTGGCCACTGCCACCACTTAGCCAAAGAGCCTCATTACAGCAGTTTACAGGGCTCAAACCCAGAACAAGTGAATCAGTCTTCTCCCACTAGGCCTCCTTTTATGCACACCAGCTCTGTCAGCACCCACTTACTCCTGTATTCTTCAGCCATCATTACAAGGCCAACTGCCGCCAATATCATAGGACCTTCCCCACTTATCACATCAGGTCACTAATACCAATAACCTGTAACAATACCTATTAACATCTCCTTAAAAATCATATTTTTTTTAATGTTTGGCTTGTCTTCTTGTTCCAAGGCCAGTACATGCTCATAGCAAGAAAAACAACAACAAAAAAAACAACAAAATATCAAAACAAGCGAAAAAAAAAACCACATACATCTTCATCACTTCTAAACAACTCACATTTCAGTATATATCTCTCCACCAATTTTTTTTTTTTTTGAGATGGATTTTCACTCTTGTTGCCCAGGCTGGAGTACAGTGGTATGATGTTGGCTCACTGCAACCTCCGCCTCCCGGGTTCAAGCGATTCTCCTGCCTGAGCCTCCCAAGTAGCTGGGATTACAGGCATGTGCCACCACACCTGGCTAATTTTTGTATCTTAATAGAGACGGGGTTTCACCATGTTGCTCAGGCTGGTCTCGAACCCCTAACCTCAAGTGATCCACCTACCTTGGCTTCCCAAAGTGCTGGGATTACAGGCATGAGCCATGCCCGGCCAATAGGTCCACCAATTTTTTAAAGGCAGAACATATCTTTTACTTTTTTTTTTTAACAGAGTTTGCATATATATACTTTTTATACTATCTTAACCTCCTGGACTTTTAAGTCCAGATCATTTTCTTGTAACTTCTATTAATAATTAAGATTTTCTGGTTGTTTCAGAAAATTACAATTATTTTGACATTCATCCTGAGTCTTACTGGTTTACTGCTTACCACCATTTCTTTCATATCACATCTTTCCCATTCTTAAGATCTTCAGTAGATTAATCTCTTATCATACAGAATCCTATTTCTAGTAATTTCTTTCAGGAAGAGTCCATGCACCCTTGTACACTGAACTTAGTTGTGGCAAGAAGGCTGTTGCCTTTGTATATGAAAAATCTTGGCCTATTTCAAGAATTTTAGGTGATCGTAAAAATGTTCCATTTGCCCTTTGATATTTAAGCAGAAAATCTGAACCTGTTTTTTTTTTTCACCTTTTACAGGTAACCAATGTTTATGTGTGTTAAATGCTTATATAATTCTTTTATTCTTGAAATTGATACTTTTTATTATATGTGTTTGGATTAATATTTTTTCATTAATTTTGCCTGGTATTCTGTCTTCTTTATGATTTCATGCCTTTTTCTGGAATTCTGATAATAAGCATATTGGATCATCTAAATCTGTTCCCTATATCTCTTAATATGCTCACCAACTGTCTTTTCTCTGAATTGTAACACAGTTTCTTAAAACTTGTCCCAAACTTGACTATAAAATTATGGCATCCAGTCTGTTGTTCGCTCTCAATAGTGCATTTTTAAAAACATTCATCAGTTGGGCTTTTCTTCTGAAAGCAACCTTTAACAACTGTGAAATGTTCTCATTTCATAGTGAATAACTGAAAATAGACCCTGTACTGTTTGAAAGTTCTTCCCTATCATGTGGTAAACCTATTTCACAGGATGACATCTAATCTATCTAGTTCAGACTACTTCTTTTGAACTCCTAACTTTTCATTGGTAATTTTTTGCTGTTTGCTTATCCTAGAGCTGGAAATGAGAAGTTTATATATGTTCATTAGAAACATGAGAAATAAGGTGACTTCTTCACAAGGTTTTGTAAATATCTATTCAGATATTTCAAGCTCAAATGATGGAAATGGGAAATTCTGGAATTATCCTTTTCTTTGCCACATTATAACTGCAGATGCTTTCATCAAAGTCACAAAGATATTGTAGTCCGACCAACCCTTACCACAGGGGAGCTGCATTATCATGCTGAACAGGTGGAGGACTGGCCTTTTCCTTCTGCGCTACAGCAGTGCTTCCTCCTTTAATTAGCACAAGGCCTGGACCAACTTTGAGTGGAGAGTGAGCAACTGTGTCTGCTCCTCTGAGCACTGAAGCCAGGTGCTTCCTAAAAGGGAACTGAGAGTTTGCCCCCATACCCTAACCTCACCCCCCAAATCCTTTGTCTAAGTTATTGGCTGGACTTTTCGATGACTAACCTTTCTTATATGGCTAGTCAATTCTTTACTAGTCTGGTGTCATCTGTACTGTAAATTGCAGAAGTTCCTCACAAGTGCTGGCATGTGGGTGGCATTCTACCATTAATCCCACTAGCATTAATACAGGTTGCCCTCATTTTTATATTCCTTTGGGATCTGGGGAAAGAGGTAAGAGTTAAATACATGTGCTCAGACTTCCATATTAAACCGGAATCTTAAAATTAAAAAGTTTATGAAGTCTTCAAACTGCTGGTTCTGCCAGGAAATTTTATTTATTTATTTATTATCTTTTTTTTTTAGACAGAGCCTCACTCTGTCACCCAGGCTGGAGTGCAGTGGCACAATCTTGGCTCACTGCAACCTCTGCCTCCCAGGTTCAAAGATTGTTGTGCCTCAGCCACCCAAGTAGGTGGGATTACAAGCATGTGCCACCATGCCCAGCTAATTTTTGTTATTTTAGTAGAGATAGGGTTTTGCCATGTTGGCCAGGCTGGTCTTGAACTTCTGGCCTCAAGTGATCTGCCCACCTCAGGCCTTCCAAAGTGCTGGGATT